>NW_016107310.1:0-223118 GCF_000001405.40 Homo sapiens
GAATTCCCCATGAGTCCTGTGACCTCAGCCCACACGGGGACCTACAGGTGCTACGGCTCACTCAGCTCCGACCCCTACCTGCTGTCTCACCCCAGTGGCCCCGTGGAGCTCGTGGTCTCAGGTGAGGGCGCTGACCCTGTCCTCTCTGAGCTCAAAGGCTCAGCTCAGGCCCTGCCCCCAGCAGAGCTCTGGACACTAAGGAAAGAGGGGAGTGAAGGGAGAGGGTCCGCAGGGGAGGGTCCAGCCCATGGGAAGATGGAAATAGACAGGGACCTCCCACCCCTGGCTCCCACCCCTGAAGTCTCAGTAGAGTAAAGTGCAGGGAGGGCTGGGAGGAGACGGGGGGTGAACCTCAAAGGAGTTGAGATTAGACTGAGGGTGGAAGACGGAGGCCCCACCTGCTCCCATCCTGGTGTCTCCACCTCAGAATCAGAGCCTCTGTGTCCCAGTCCCCAACAGACGCCCTCCTGGAGAGAGAAGCATCCAGGCTGCCGGTGCCACCTGCATCCACCCCCGACCCCCCCCCACCCCGCCCCACTTCCTGCTTTCCCCTGCAGCCTCCCCAGCACTCAGCGCACACCTGAGCCTCACAGGGACTTGCACGTGCTCCCGCAGCAGCTCAGGGAATGTGCACCGCTCCTCTTCTGCGCCGTTGACATTTTTTATTTGGGTTTTTAAAATCTCATATTGGCCTTTTTGTCCAAGCTGGTGAAAGTAGATTTGCAGCATCACCTATTTTTATTCTCACCCGGTTTCGTAATAGCCCTGATCTCACGTGCTCCCTGAGGTTTTGTAAACTTCAGGTAGAAATGTGGACTTCCTTCGTTCTGGACATTTGCTATGGAGGGGGTAGGGCTTATCTTTTCAGAAAAAGTCAAATGACTGGTACCACTCCTTGAAACCCTACAGCACTTTCCAGACCTCAGAGGGAGGGAGAGAGAGGCAGAGACAGAGACAGAGAGACAGAGAGAGAGATATTGGGGCCGCTCTTTCCTGGCCGGTTCATCCTGGCCTATTCTCAATCCACCAAGGCCCCGAAGCTCATCTCCCCTCCTCCTCTGCCTCCTCCTCCACCCTGTAGACAAGCGGCCATTCCTTTCTGAAGAACAGGCTGAGACCTTTCTGGGACCTGCTCTTTCTGGAGCCTCTGTTGCTCCCTGTCTGGGTCTCCACACGCCTCCTTCCTGGCCCTTTTTCCTATTGAGGAATCAGCTTCAATGTCACCTCCAAGTGTGACCTTCACTGACGACACAGCTCAGCCCAGTCCTGCCTGCTTCTCATTTATGTCAAGTAATTAACCAACCTACACCATGCGGCTGAATTCCTTCTCTCTCTCTTCCACTCTCTGCATATACGTGTGTGTGTGTGTGTGCGCGTGTGTGGTCACACCAACATCTTACGTGACATTGAAACCTAGTTATCCGTATATCTATACAAATAATATATATTCACACATAAATATAGGTCTCTACCAATATATCTAAAACCATTGCTACGACTAGTAAATTTCCACTGCTGTGTTTCTATATGTTTGCTGTTTGTCTCCAGGTGAACCCACACTTCAAGAAGGCAGAGATAGTTTTTAAGGCCCACTATATATATAAAACAGATATATATTTGTGTTTGTGTTTTTCTGTGTGTGTATCACATTCTACCTGTTGCTGCCTATACGAATAATTAGCTACCTAGAGATTAAATGGACAATGAAACTCCAGGTGAAGTGGCTGAGGGCATGAAGGGGAGGCAGCCCCAGAATTTCACCCCTTTGTGCTTCTGACATTGAGGCTCCCCTGATGACTAACCCTCATCCACGGAGCCTGGGTCCTCAGCTGGTGGATCCGTGAAACTCTCATCTCCGGGGGAGTTGGCTCATGTTCTCCTGTGTCCCAGGCTGCACAGAGAGCACACAGGCCTTAGTGACCTCTGTACTGGGGACCACTTTCCTTGCAGATCCTGAGCTCTCAGGATGCAGGAAAACTCTCTCCCAGATGACTCAGGAGCAATGTTTAAATCCATAGAACACAGGAAAACTGAAATCGTTCAATGAGGAGACTAGAGGGAATCCTGCTAGCGGAGGAAGAGGTTTTTTTTTTTTTTTTTTAGAAATTCTGTAAAAGTCACATCATGAGACATTAAGTAATAAAAAAAAAATTGCAGAGCCCAGGTGAGAGGCTGGGCTCAGGTCTCTTTTTCTCTGTTTTGATTCTCTGGAGCAGCTGATACCCTCAGCCCATCACAAAACAAGTCTGACTCTGAGACTGGTATGTGAGGAGATACTCTCAGTGATGGGGCTGGCACTGAGGGTTGGGTCCTGTGAAGGGGAGGTGGGTGCCCTGGGTGGACAATCTGATCCACCCTGACCTCTGTGACCTCTTTGTCCACCATCCCCAGCCTCACACCTTCAGGATTACGCAGTGGAGAATCTCATCCACATGGGCGTGGCTGGCTTGATCCTGGTGGTCCTCGGGATTCTGTCATTTGAGGCTTGGCACAGCCAGAGAAGCTTCCCAAGATGCAGCCGGGAGGTGAACAGCAGAGAGGATAATGTACTTTATAGAGTCGTGAAGCCTCAGGAACAGATCTGATGATCCCAGGAGGTTCTGGAAGAAAATCTAGGGCCGATGCTATCTGGACTGTCTGCTGGTCATTTCCAGAGGAAGGAATCAATGTCCGAGTGCAGGGACATTTTCTGGGGTGATCCATGGAGAACCATTAAAATGTGATACCTTTCCTCTCCATTAATGTTGACTTTCCTTGGTTGGATCTGCCTCTTTTCCCACACTTAGACATGAGGCTCCATCCCACATGGCAGCGTTGGGTCCACACCTCTGCACACCTGCATGCTCTGGTCCATGGCGTGTCACACAGTCCTCTTCATTTCTCATTGCCACACTTCCTGGTGTACTTTACTGGGTCTTCATGTCTTCAGTTCAGAGTTCCGCACCTGGTTTAGGAACTAATTCAACGGGAGAAGATCAGAGTCCGACCAGGAAAAGATAAATGCACCGTGATGCCCTCACCTCCTGTGTGGACCCTATGAGCTCTTCCCTCCTTATCAGATGCTATCTGTGTAGTTTCTCCTGAAATATCACCACCTGGAATCAACACACTGGCATTTGAAGTCACGACCCAATGGTATGCTAATTCTGAAAAAGACATTTTTTGAAATGCTATGATTAGTGGCATTTACCAATTTCCTTGACGTAAATTCTTTTTTCATGGCCATAATCAAGATGCCAACGAGACATCCCTGAATGCAGGGTTGGGAAGCGTTGGACAGACTTGTCTTCACTCATAAGCACCAGGCATCTGATAGCTCACGTATACATCTTATTACCTTCCATTTTAGAGTGAATAATCATTTCTACTTCAGTATTTTGGCACAGGTAAAAGCAGTCCCATTACTGCGCGTATACCCAAAGGAATATAAATCATTCTATTGCAAAGATACATGCACACATGTGTTCATCGCAGCACTATTCACAATAGCAAAGACATAGAATCAACCCAAATGCCCATCAATGATAGACTGGATAAAGAAAATGTGAGACATATACACCACGGAATACTATGAAGCCATAAAAAGAAACAAGATCATGTCCTTTGCAGGGACATGGATGGAGCTGGAAACCATTATCCTCAGGAAACTAACACAGGAACAGGAAATCAAACGCTGCATGTTCTCACTTACAAGTGGGTGCTGAACAATGAGAATGCGTGAACACAGGGAGGGGAACAACACACACTGGGGCCTGTCGGGGGGGGGGTGGGGTAGGGGTAGGGAGAGCATTAGGAAAAATAGCTAATGTATGCTGGGCTTAATACCTAGGTGATGGGTTGACAGGTGCAGGAAACCACCATGGCGCACATTGACCTATGCAATAAGCCCACACATTCTGCACATGTACCCCGGAACTTAAAATAAAAATAAAAATTAAAATTAAATTATGACACCATGATCCTAGCATATCCAAAAAAGACAAAAATGCCAATATCAAATGTCGGAGAAAATAGGGCTGAATTAAAAATCCAATACAACGCCGGGCGCAGTGGCTCACGCCTGTAATCCCAGCACTTTGGGAGGCCAAGGTGGGTGGATCACTTGAAGTCAGGAGTTTGAGACCAGCCTGGCCAAACGTGGTGAAACCCTGCCTCTACTAAAAATACAAAAATTAGCCGGGTGTGGTGGCACTCGCCTGTAGTCCTAGCTACTAGGGAGGCTGAGGCAGGAGAATCACTTGAACCCGGGAGGCGGAGGTTGCAATGAGCTGAGATCATGCCACTGAACTCCAGCCTGGGTGACAGAGCGAGACTCCGTCTCAAAAAAAAAAACAAAAAAAAAAAACCCTCAAAAGCTCAGGCAGCAAAAGCAAAAATAGGCAAATGAGATCATAGCAAACTGCAAACCTTCTGCACAATCAAGGAAACAAACAGCAGAGTGAAGAGACCACCTACAGAATGGGAAAGAATATTTGCAAGCAAGAGATTAATCTCCAGAAAATACAAGGAGCTCAAACAATGCAGAGGTTTTGAAGGATGGTGATGAGAAGGTTCTGCTACTTACAGAAAGGAAGTTTAGGAGAAACAAAACCACAAACCTAGGTGGTGGGATGGCTTGATCTGCTTCTGTCTGTGACTCACTTAACAGTCTTAAACACATCTCCCTAAGCCTCCTTCCCCCGGTGGGATTCCTGGGTCTTGTGAGGACCTCATCGGTCCCTCTGGTAAACCCAGGCACAGAGTGGAGCAGCTCTTGTTTTCTCAGGATCTTCCCCTTCACATACAATTAACGCACCCACACGATGCTACTCTTAGAACCCTTCAAATAAATGTTTCCCGGTTCATTCACTACCAGAATCCAAGCTCAGCTTGTTCCCCAGCTTAGGACTGAGTGGTATCTTGGAGGTAGTTTCCACCATAGCCCCCTTCCTCTGCTATAAGGCTCAGTGACACACCAGAGACACCCCCTCCAGCCAGGCTCCTGGAAGGTCTGGATGAAGACTGGGATGCTGAGGCATTGCTCAGCAATGTGGCTTAACTCAAACTTCTATGTGAAACTTCCAACCACTTTCAGCAAGGGGTCACTTCCAGCGTCTTGGGGTGTGAGGGCACTTTGGTTGGTCCCTGCAATATCAGACCCTATAAAGATCCTACAAACATGTTGCAGACTCTTTGAAGATTCTGGCACTTTCAGACATGCTGTTGGGAAATGGTGACACCCATAACCTTCTAGTTCCAGGACAGGGAGCCTTAGCCCAGGGCTATGTTTTCTGAGGGTCCTCAAAGTAAACAGTTCTATGTGCCAGGAGAACCCTAAATCTCATATGGTTCTAAGGGCAGAAAGCCACACACGCACCGGCAAAAAGCAAGAGATTCAAGGAAAAGCTGAGCAAAGACAGACAGGAAAACACACACATGATGAGCCAGCTTGTAGAGCTAGAACTGAGATGGAGAGAGGCACGAGTGGGTAACAGAGTGTGCTCCCCAGAACAGGTGGAGAGAATGCCTTTTTCATGCCCTGAGGATAGGCTGGGTAAGGCTTGTGCTCGACAGTCAAGGACTATTTTTTTCCCCAGGCGTCTACAAGAGACCTTCCTTCTCAGCTCAACTGTGCCCTGCAGTAAGTAATGATGGAGAGAATGTGACTTTGCTCTGCAGCTCTGGAAGCTCATTTGACCTGTGCCTTCTAACGAGGAAGGTAAGGCCCCTGGACACTGGCTCACTGGGGTGCAGAGACAGAGTGGGGCATTCAGGCCAACTTCTCTCTGGGTCTTGGGGCTGGTGATGGGACCTCTAGATGCTGCAGCTCTCTGTCGATGGCTCTGCCTGTGAGTGATCAGCCCTAGATGACCACTGTTACTGGGGGTAGCCCATGCCTGCTGCATGCCCTGTGAAACACTAAATCATATAGCCACGTCTGAGGGACAGCCTGCTGGAGACATGGGAATCTTAGGGATTCCAGACAAAATGAAGCAATGAGAAACACAAAGAGGAAAAGAGAGGTTGAGTATGACAGTGGTGTCAGGGTGTAGGGTGGTAGACAGGGCAGCTCCACACTCTCCACTGCTTCCTGTCTGGAGGCCCACTTTGGGGTCCTACTTATCCAGGTGAGTGAAGGAAGAGGTCAGGACAAACACAGGAGGTGAAGCCAGATACAGTGTGGGGAGATAAGCAGTGGCCTCAGCCTCTAGCCCTTTTCCATCTTCCAGAAGCCCCTCCTGAGCTCTCATCACAGACAGATTTCCCATTTGGAAACCCAGATATTTATCATGCCGGGGGGGGGAGGCAATGTCTCTTGATTATGGGGACTTTCCATCACCAGGCACCTGCTAGTCCTCTCTATACCTTCCCTTCAGGAAAGGAATTGTCCCTCATGGGATTCCAGGGAAGAGACCCCAGGACCCCTATCAGTCACTAGGGAGATGACAGAGTAGAGGAAGTCAGGGGACCAACCCTCCACAGAGAATGGTCCTACTTCAGTGGGGTGAGGGAAACTCTCACTCATCCATTTGCTGTCCTGTTACCTCGGAACCCTAAGAGAACTTGTTAGTCACACACAGAATCTACCCCTGAATGTGGTGTGCAAAGTGGGGCTCTTAGCCTCCAGTGTGAAGTCCCTGGGAAGATGGAATGTCCCTGTGTGAGTGAAGGCTGTGCCACCGCCCAGCTATGTGGCCTTGGGCTAGGCAACCCCTCCCAGGTCCCCAGTTCCCCATCTGCATCGGAGACTGTGGCCAGTGCGGGAATCCACAAGGCCCTTCAGCCTCCAAAGCTCTGGGACAGAGGCCTCGTCCACAGGGAGGAAGGGGTCAGAGTGACCTGAGTCCCTACTCAGGAGCGAGTCTAATCCACTCTCCATCGGGGCCTGTGGGGAAGGGAAGATGAAGAAACGGAGCCTGCACCTGGCTATGTGGGCGCAGTAGATTAAGGGGAGGATGAGGGTTCCTGAGAGTGTGTCATGTGGCAGAGACCCTGCAGCACACTCAGGAAGGGCTCTGGAAGGATCCAAGGAAATTTTCCAAGAAGAGGGCAGAGTAAGTGACAGAGACCCTCAACCATGGATTTCACTGAGGTGCCCATGATGACATAGGGAGAACGGGGGTGTCTGGGCAGGAAGAATATCGTCAGGGTGAAATGAATGGTGATGAGCTTCGTGTCAGAGCTCCTGTGGAGGGAGGGGCCTGGCCCACATGAAAAGGTCTCTGATCCTACCCCAGCCCCCAGCCCCTGTTCTCCAGGATGACACTGTGGGAATTCCATCAGGAGGGGTGTGATAGGGCTGGTCTTCCTGGCTCGATTCACAACACTGGCTGGGGACTGGGAACCCATGGGGAGCCACAGGTGGAAAGGGAGGAGCCTCAGTGAACCCAGCAGGAACAAACATAGGGTCTGACATGATGGAACTCACTTCCTGGAGGCCAAGAAAGACACTTGCGGGACAAAAGGGAAAGAGCGGTGGCTTGCTTAGTTCCATTCACTGACAACCCACAGGAGATGTCCAGTCCTTTTTTGATTTATTATTTTATTTTATTATATTTTATTTTATTTTATTTTATTTTCACATGGAGTTTTGCTCCTATTGGCCAGGCTGGAGTGCAATGGCACGATCTTGACTCACTGCAACCTCCACCTCTCAGGTTCAAGCGATTCTCCTGCCTCAGCCTCCTGCATAGCTGGGATTACAGGCGACTGCCACCACAGCCAGGTAATGTTTGTATTTTTAGTAGAGATGAGGTTTTGCCATCTTGGCCAGGCTGGTCTCAAACTCCTGATCTCATGTGATCCGCCTGTATCAGACTGCCAAAGTGTTGGGATTACAGGCGTGAGCCACCACACCCAGCCTTTTGTATTTTTAGTAGAGATGGGGTTTCACCATGTTGGTCAGGCTGGTCTTAAACTCCTGACCTCAGGTGATCCATCCACCTCGGCCACCCAAAGTGCTGGGAGTACAGATGTTAGCCACCGTACCCAGCGAGAGTTTCAGTGCTCTATCGGATTCCCTGCCTACTCCATGTTGCATGTAATGTTCCACCTCAGGGATGTTTCTCTCCTTTCTGTCTCCTTCCTCTTCTCCTTCTCCTTTTTTCTTTCTAATTTTTATTTTTTTGAGACAGAGCCTTGCTCTGTTACCCAGGCTAGAGTACAGTGGCACGATCCCAGCTCACTGCAACCTCTGCCTCCTGGGTTCAAGAGATTCTCCTGACTCAGCCTCTCAAGTAGCTGGGATTACAGGCACCCGCCATCACACCCAGCTAGTTTTTGTATTTTTAGTAGAGACGAGGTTTCACCATGTTGGCCAGACTGGTCTTGAACTCCTGCCCTCAGGTAATCCACCCGCCTGTGGCCCCCCAAAGTGCTGGGATTACAGGCGTGAGTCACCACTCCCAGCCCTGAATGATCTTTCCTCTTTAGTGTGTTCTCACAACCACCTCTCACTGAGCTTTCTTGTTTTTTGTTTTTGTTTTTGTTTTTGTTTTTGTTTTTGGCAGAGTCTGGCTTTGTTGCCTATGCTGGAGTGCAGTGGTGCAATCTCAGCTCACTGCAACCTCCGTCTCCTGGGTTCAAGCGATTCTCCCACCTCAGCCTCCTGAGTAGCTGGGATTACAGGCACCCACCACCACACCCAGCTAATTTTTGCATTTTTAGTAGACACAGGGTTTCACCATGTTGGTCAGGCTGGTCTCGAACTCCTGACCTTGTGATCTGCCAGCCTCAGCCTCCCAAAGTGCTGGAATTACAGGCATGAGCCACCACTCCCAGCCCTGGATTATCTTTCCTCTTTAGTGTGTTCTCACAACTACCTCTCACTGCTGGGTTTTCTCTCTTTCTTTTTTTTTTTTTTTTTTTTTTTTTTTGAGACAGTCCGGCTTTGTTGCCCAGGCTGGAGTGCAGTGGCGCGATCTCGGCTCACTGCAAGCTCCACCTCCCAGGTTCAAGCGATTCTCCCACCTCAGCCTCCCTAGTAGCTGGGATTACAGGCGCATGCCAGCACACCCAGCTAGTTTTTGTATTTTTAGTAGAGACAGGGGTTTCACCATGTTGGTCAGGCTGGTCTTGAACTCCTGACCTTGTGATCTTCCTGCCTCGGCCTCCCAAAGTGCTGGGATTACAGGTGTAAGCCACTGCACCCAGCCAGCTTTCTCATTCTTATCCCTTAGTTCTCTGCCAGGGAATAAGATAGAAACCATTCCCTCAACCACATTCTAGTCATGGTCCCTATTCTCATGTTTCCACTTCTCTCTCTTTGGTAATAAATCAATTAATTGAGAAACAAGTAGCTAAATGTTCATCTTCTGCTAGTCTGCATCCCCTTATTTTCCCAGAGCCTCCCCTAATGAAACTGACTTTATTTACTGAACGCAGGAAATGGGTCTCTCCAGATCAGGATGACTTTCTGCTGGGAAATATTTGTCTTTGCATCAGTGGGGAAAAAGAAAGCCGATGTCATGAGTGGAGGCTCTGAGAAAATAAGGGCTGTGTTTTCAGTTTAGACCCAGCTAAGTTGGGAGCTGACATAGATATGATGTTGGGTCCACCCTCCACGGGCAGGTTTTCAGACAAAGGATCCCTGGCAATCAGGGGACACCTCAGGTCTGGGCTGAGATGTGTGCAGAGGGCCTGGGTCCTCCTGAGCCCCTGCACTGGGGGGGGAATAAGAGACAGGCCCAGCAAGGGGCTGTCCACTTCCTGTGGGTTCACAGCTGTGGGGACCCAGGCAGGCGGCAGCAGGCTCTGACTTAACCACATCCGTGCATCTGTCTGTCATGGAGGGCCATGTGGTCACCTGTCCCACAGCTGGAGCACGCAGAGCAGGCATCATGGTGTCCATCCTCACTGTTCTTCTGTGCCTCAGTCAGTGGTGGAGAGACGAGGGACAGGAGGGGCACTGGGCTGAGGTGGGGAGGGTCCCACAGCAGCCTTGTTCACCAGAGAGCCTCAGGGCTCCAGTGGCTACTGGTGCTCCAACAGGAAGGGAAGCAGCCACACCTCTGTGTTCCAAATCCCCCACAGGAAACTCTTCTCCATGGCTGAGTCTGGGCCAGAAAGCCCAAGCACTTGCAGGTGAGTCTCTGCTAACCTCCCATGCCTGACCTCACACTCAGCACCTGGACTCTCATCTCAGGGGCTTCTGAACTGAGGGTGAGAAAATCAAGAGGGTCTGTGACCTGAGCTGGGAATGAGGAGCGGGGGAGGTCTGTGGACCCCAGCCTGTGGTTTCTTCCAGGGACCCTCCCCAAACCCAGCCTCTGGGCTGAGCCAGGCTCTGTGATTACCTGGGAGAGCCCCATGACCCTCTGGTGCCAGGGGACCCTGGATACCCAGGGTTACTATCTCACCAAGGAAGGAAACCCCATGACCTGGTACCAACAGAGCCCACCAGAGCCCAGGAACAAGACCAACTTCTTCATCCCATCCATGAGAGAGCACCATGCAGGGAGATACCACTGTCACTATCTCAGCCCTGCAGGCTGGTCAGAGCGCAGCGAGCCCCTGGAGCTGGTGGTGACAGGTAAGAGGACACTCAGGGGTCCCAGCCCCAGGCTCTGCCTGCAGGAAGGGGGTCAGCTCTCAAGGGCATCTCCGTTCTAATAACTCAGCCCTGGGGGATGATGTGGGACGCGTGAGCCCCATTTAAGACAGTGTCTCCTTCTCTCCTAGGAGCCCACAGAAAACCCACTCTCTCAGCCCTGCCGAGCCCTGTGGTGACCTCAGGAGAGAACGTGACCATCCAGTGTAGCTCAAGGGTGGGATTTCACAGGTTCATTTTGATTGAGGAAGGAGAAAACAAGCTCTCCTGGATGCTGGACTCACAGGAACTCTCCAAGGGGCTGTCCCTTGTCCCTGGCCCTGTTCCCTGTGGGCCGTGTGGCTGCCAGTCACCGGTGGATGTTCAGATGCTATGGGCATTACACGAACTTCCCCTGGGTGTGGTCGGAACCCAGTGATACCATGGAGATCCTGGTCTTAGGTATGGATGTCTTCCTCCTTGCCCTATTTATTTTTGAGAACTTACTCTCACGGAGCCCCATGTAGGAGGGTGGAACAAGGGAAGTTTGGGACTCCTGAGCCCAGAGACACTGAGTGTGAGAGACAGTGAGACCTGCAGGGCCAGGAGGGGAGAAGGAAGGGGTGTGGGAGGAACCAGCCCTCCTAGTCCCGACTCTTCTTTCCCTCCAGGCGTGTCTAGGAAGCCCTCCCTCCTGACCCTGCAGGGCCCTGTCGTGGCCCCTGGGGAGAATCTGACCCTCCAGTGTGGCTCTGATGTCGGCTATGACAAATTCACTCTGTACAAGGAGGGGGGACATGACCTCGTCCAGGGCTCTGGCCGGCAGCCCCAGGCTGGGCTCTCCCAGGCCAACTTCACCCTGGGCCCTGTGAGGGTCTCCCACGGGGGCCAGTACAGATGCTACGGTGCACACAACCTCTCCTCCGAGTGGTCGGCCCCCAGTGACCCCCTGAGCATCCTGATCGCAGGTGAGGAGCCCAGCAGGTTCAGTCAGGGACCCAGGCTCCGCACAGGCCCTGCTGGGGGAGCCCAGGTGGTGATGGCCGGGATGAGGGGTGGGGGTCCTAAGGGACGGAGAGACAGACAGAGACAGGGGATGGGCGGGGAGGGGGAGACTCAGAGAAAACAGAGACAGAGACACTGAGGGTCCCAGGGAGAGGCCTGGGGAGGTGTCAGCTCAGAACGAGGTGGGGCAGCCCCTCACCCATCCTTCTTCTCTCCAGGACAGATCCGTGGCAGACCCTCCCTCTCGGTGCAGCCGGGCCCCACGGTGGCCTCAGGAGAGAACGTGACCCTGCTGTGTCAGTCACGGGAGCAGTTGGACACTTTCCTTCTGACCAAGGAGGGGGCAGCCCATCACCCACTGCGTCTGAGATCAGAGCACCAAGCTCAGCAGCACCAGGCTGAATTCCCCATGAGTCCTGTGACCTCAGCCCACGCGGGGACCTACAGGTGCTACAGCTCACGCAGATTCTTCCCCTACCTGCTGTCTCACCCCAGTGACCCCCTGGAGCTCGTGGTCTCAGGTGAGGCCGCTGACCCTGTCCTCTCTGAGCTCAAACCTCAGCTCAGGCCCTGCCCCCAGGAGAGCTCAGGACGCTAAGGAAAGAGGGGAGTAAAGGGGGAGGGTCGGCAGGGGAGGGCCCAGCCCATGAGAGGGTGGAAATAGTCAGGGACCTCCTAATCCTGGGCTCCCACCCCAGAGACCTCAGATGGGGCTAAAGGCCAGGGAGGGCTGAAATGAGATATGGAGAAACCTTGGAGGAATCATGCTTAGGCTGAGGGTAGAAGATGGAGGCCCCACCCACTCCCCACCTGGGCTCCCCTGGCGGCCCCAAAATACTCAGTGCATACCTGAGACGAAGGGGAGATCATGCACCTGCTCACTGCAGCAATGCAGGCAAATTATTCAACAGCAAACCTCGTGTGCAATTCCTTTCTGTCCTTTATTTTTTATGTCCACATATCTAGTTTCTCTTTCTGTTTCTGAAGATTTCAAAGCAATGCTGGCATTTATAATTTACACATTTAATTTGTTAGGTAGCGTTATGATGTAAAATAACTGTGCTCTGATTTTCTTTGGGATTAAATTAAATATGTGCATTCATGATGGAGAATAACTTCTCATTAATAATGTCTTTGTATCCAATACATTTAAAATTAAACTTTATACAGTTAGCAGATGCTTGAAGTTGTATTCATAAAAATTGTGGACATTGTGAATTTTAAGCATTGTTTTACTACTTGAATAATTTGAAAGTCTTTGATTCCTTTCTATTTTCTAAAATTAGTTACGTATGGATGAGAAAGCTATTGGTTTGGGTATGCTAATTTTAGTTCCTATTAACTTACCACAGACACACTCCCTTTCAATCCTTTCCGAAATGATCTCTTCTGATTTATTGATAATAATTACATTAACCACAAGAAAATGGAGGACAAACTTGTTTGTTTCTAAATTATATAATACTCTTCTCACTTCAAATATATATGTATGTGTTTATATATACTCACACACTATTATATATCTTATAATATATATTATGTATTATATATTTATATATACACTATTATATATCTTATATATTATGTATTATATATTTATATATACCCACACATTATTATATCTTATAATATATATTATGTATTATATATTTATATATACCCACACATTATTATATCTTATAATATATATTATGTATTATATATTTATATATGCACTATTATATATCTTATATATTATGTATTATATATTTATATTACCCACACATTATTATATCTTATAATATATATTATGTATTATATATTTATATATACACACACTATTATATATCTTATTATATATTATGTATTATATATTTATATATACTATTATATATCTTATAATATATAATGTATTATATATTTATATATACACACACTATTATATATCTTATATATTATGTATTATATATTTATATATACATACTATTATATATCTTATAATATATTATGTATTATATATTTATATATATACACTATTATATATCTTATTATATATTATATATTTATATATGCACACACTATTACATATCTTATTATATATTTATATGTATACACACACTATTATATATCTTATTATATATTATGTACTATATATTTATATATACTATTATATATCTTATAATATATAATGTATTATATATTTATATATACACACACTATTATATATCTTATATATTATGTATTATATATTTATATATACATACTATTATATATCTTATAATATATTATGTATTATATATTTATATATATACACTATTATATATCTTATTATATATTATATATTTATATATGCACACACTATTACATATCTTATTATATATTTATATGTATACACACACTATTATATATCTTATTATATATTATGTACTATATATTTATATATACTATTATATATCTTATAATATATAATGTATTATATATTTATATATACACACACTATTATATATCTTATATATTATGTATTATATATTTATATATACATACTATTATATATCTTATAATATATTATGTATTATATATTTATATATACACACTATTATATATCTTATTATATATTATATATTTATATATGCACACACTATTACATATCTTATTATATATTTATATGTATACACACACTATTATATATCTTATATATTATATATTTATATATACTCACACTATATCTTATAATACATATTATGCATACACATATGCATAATACATATTATCTATACACATATGCATAATACATATTATGTATACACATATGCATAACACATATTATGTATACACACATATTTACACCTATGCATATATGTATGTATGTATGCGAATGTACCTCTGCCACGGCAGGGAAAGGTTCTATCACACAACTACAGAGCAGTTAGGAGAAGTGTAGACACAAAGGAATGCAGCAACTGAGGGACATGTTGGCTTAAGTCTCTTCAACTCCTCACACACCTCCCCCTTTTTTGGTTGATTCTCAGGAGCAGCTGAGACCCTCAGCCCATCGCAAAACAAGACAGACTCCAAGACTGGTGTGTAAGGAGATGCTCTCGGTTATGGGGCTGGCACAGAGGGTCAGGTCCTGTGAAGGGGAGGTGGGTGCCCTGGGTGGACATCCAGGGGTCCCGGGTGATGTTGATCTGCCCTGACCTCTGAGACCTCTTGGTCCACCATCCCCAGCCTCACACCCCCAGGATTACACAGTGGAGAATCTCATCCGCGTGGCTGTGGCTGGCTTGGTCCTGGTGGTCCTCGGGATTCTGCTGCTTTAGGACTGGCACAGCTAGAGAAGTCCCCAAGATGCAGCAAGGAGGTAAATACATGAGAGAACAATGCACCCTTCAGAGTGCCAGAGCCTTGGCAATGAATCTGATAGTCCTAGGAGGTTCTGGAAGAAAGTCTGGACCATCATTCGGGAAACCGTCTACTGAGAAAGTCGAGAAGGGGAGGCTTGGGTCAGGTTCAGGAAGATGTCTGGGTGCCTGTAGAGAACGCTTCCTCCATTAAACTTCCATTAAATGGCAGTGCTTTCAGTCCTGCTGTTGTGGATCCTCCGTGTCTGCCCCTCCCTTCCTTTCGCTCTCTGTGATGTGAAGGCACGTCCCCCATGGTGGGTTTGCATCCACACCCCTGCGATCACGTGCTCTGGTCCACTGTCATGTAATACATTTGTCTTTGTTTCCAACTACCGCATTCTCTAAAGTGAACTATTGATTCTCCATCTTTTCAGTTCTGAGCATAGATCTGGATTAAATAACTGGAATAGGTGGGCAGATTTGTATTTGGGACTTTGAAACATGAGTCTGAGGCCAGGCACAGTGGCTCACACCTGTAATCCCAGCACTTTGGGAGGCTGAGGTGG
This sequence comes from Homo sapiens, assembly GCF_000001405.40. Classification (NCBI taxonomy): domain Eukaryota; kingdom Metazoa; phylum Chordata; class Mammalia; order Primates; family Hominidae; genus Homo; species Homo sapiens. The sequence goes on from NW_016107310.1 coordinate 15,402, forward strand.
GCGGATCACTTGAGGTCAGAAGTTCGAGACCAACCTGGCCAACATGGTGAAACCCTGTCTCTACTAAAAGATACAAAAATTAGCTGGGTGTGGCAGTGAGCACCTGTAATCCCAGCTGCTCAGGAAGCTGAGGCGGGAGAATAGCTTGAACCCGGGAGGCGGAGGTTGCAGTGAGCCAAGATCTTGCCACTGCACTCCAGCCTGGGCAACAGAGCAAGACTCCATCTCCAAAAAAAAAAAAAAAAAGGGAAATATGAGTCTGAAATGATGCCCTAGCACCCTCTCTGGACCCTGAATTCCCTTCACTCTTCATCGGATGATACCTGTGTACTTTGTCCAGAAATATCATCTCTCAGAATGAGCACACTAACGCTCGAAGGCTCAGCCTCATGGTATTCTGTTAAACTGGCTCTCTGAAAAAATTATTTTCTTAAGAAAACTCTGAACATATAAAGCCCCAGATTTATGGTATTTGCTGATTAGTGTGGTATAAATACGTCCTTTATGGCCAACTTCAGGGTGCCCATATGACGCCATTGAATGCACAGTTGGGAAGTAGTCAAAAGAATTGTCGTTCACACGAGTATGAACCAGTTGTAAAGTTTATTTAAAGGTTATAATAATTTCTGCTTCATTCTTATGGTGTAGTTTCAGTAAAATTGTAATGTCAAAAATCATAGCACAATGGAGGGAAAAGAAAAAAATAGGCCGGGTGTGGTGGCTCATGCCTGTAATCCCAACACTTTGGGAGGCCGAGGCAGGAGGATCACCTGAGGTCAGGAGTTCGAGACCAGCCTGGCCAACATGGTGAAACGCTGTCTCTACTAAAAATACAAAAATTAGCCAGACATGGTGGCGCCTGCCTGTAATCCCAGCTACTTGGGAGGCCAAGGCACGAGAATCGCATGAACCCAGGAGGCGGAGGTTGCAGTGAGCCGAGATCACTACAGCCTGGGTGATAGAGCAAGACTCAGTCTCAAGAAAAGAAAAAAGTAGCAAAATCATTTTTTGGAAAGAATATTGAACATGTAGAATTTTAGTACATTAATAGTAAGAGTACAAATTGCTTTAATCAATTAAGGAAGTGTATTGGAATTATCTAGTTAAAAAGAGGAGGCACATGGCTGTGACCCTTCTTAATTATGTACTTAATTATGTACCCTAGAGATAAATGTCTACTTATGTGTCATGATACACTCACAACTGTTATAGGAATGCTGTTCCTATTAGCCAAAGCTATAAAATACCAAAGTCCACCTACGAAAAAAATAAACATAGTGTGGTAAATAGACTCAGTGGAATATTACAAGGTAGTAAAATGCATAAATGAAAATAACAAACAGCACCATACTTCAATTTTCAAGCATAAAGTCAAGTAAATGAAGTATTATTTGAAAATGTGTGCATGGTTATTTCATTACATAAAGGTCAAAAGGAGGGTACATTTATTATTTAGGAAAACACACCTAAGATATCTTTGTAAAATCTGTAAAATCAATAGTACTGTTTCCCCTCTTTCATTCCTTATCTTGAAAATGCTTGTCTCTTTTTCTGCCATGGCTTTCTACCTTGCTTGATATATTACAATTTTGTAACCTGCTTATTTCATCATATGTCATAAGTTCACATGTATATCCCATGAATTATTGAGGGTCTTATTCATTTCAAGTGGCATTTAGGTTTTTAAAAATATCTTTTGGCGACCAGGTGCAGTGGCTCATGCCTGTAATCCCAGCACTTTGGGAAGCCAAGGCAGGTGGATCACGAGTTCAAGAGACAGAGATCATCCTGGCGAACATGGTGAAACCCCGTCTCTACTAAAAATACAAAAAAAAAAAAAAAAATAGCTGGGCATGGTAGAGGGTGCCTGTAGTCCCAGCTTCTCAGGAGGCTGAGGCGGGAGAATGGCATGAACCCGAGAGACGGAGGTTGCAGTGAGCCGAGATCGTGCCACTGCACTCCAGCCTGGCAACAGAGTGAGACTCTGTCTCAAAAAAAAAAAAAAAAGAAAGAAAGAAAGGAAGAAAAAAAAATCTTCTGGCATTAACTATTAAGAAATTGCACTATAAAAAGAGAATATAATGCATAAGACGGCAATTTGAAAAGATTCAGATATAATTTTTTCTTATCTAGTAAATACTTAGTAATTTGTCTAATGCATGCCTTAAATACATACCACTTTATGCAGAGGTTGCCATGAGCCGAGATCGCGCCGTTGCACTCTAGCCTGGGTGGCAGAGCAAGACTCCATCTCAAAAAAAAAAAAGAAAATCTCACAGAAGGAGACCCAGAGCTTCCAGCCTCGCCCAGAGTCTTGGCTCACTCCCTGTGTGTGTGGACCCTAGGGAGCCTCTTCTGTTCCCCACAGAGGTGGAAACTTCCTCCTTAATAACCCCTTGATGGTCCCAGGCACTGGTGACCACTGAGCTTTGCTCTCTCTTTTTTCTTATGGTTCCCTGTCTACTTCCAGGGCTATCACTTTACTTTTTGTGCATTAGACCATGAATAATGTTTTAGAAACATTCTATCAAATTTCTCAGTGCTAGGAACAACTGAGGTTTTTGATTGGGTGCCTCAAATGTCTACCCTTACTGTGGAGTCCGACAACAGGATTCTAACAAGTCCCAACCCCTTCATGCCTTAACCTGGTCTGGAAATAAATTATGTTTAAGCCATCCCATACCCCAGCCACATCAAGCCCCACAACCACTCTGAGAAGTGAGATTTATAGCAAAATGCTCCAAACAAGGTAACTAAGGTTCAGACAAGGGATGTTAATGTGTCCATTTACATAAACAAAAAATGGTAGATGATCAGCTTTCCCTTTGAAATCAGAGTACTAATCTGACTCATTGTTCCCTGAATTTTAGAGGCAGGACCTCAGGAGGAGCTAAGAATCCTACCCCAGGAAAATTACCAATATCAGAAAGGAAACAATGACATCAGTACAGATCCTACAGAATTCAAAAGATTCTAAGTGGACATTATGAAGACATTATTCAGCTTAGATGAAGTGGTCACATATCACAAGAAAACAAACTGTCTAAAACAATCTCTGAAATACCTAGACATTCCCTGAATCATTGAGTTATTAAATAAAATACATTTTAAAATTAAACTCTTTTCAGGAAATAAACTTCAATGTCCCCTAGTGCACTCTCCAAAACATGTAGATGGGAATAAATACTGTTCTGAAAGACATTTCCCTGGAATTACAACCATTCAATATATTTTAAAAGGCAATCATAAAAATATAAAAAGGATATATCAGGAGAAGAAATGTAAATGGCCTAAATTCCCCACATAAAAGGCATAGAGTGGCAACGTGGATAAAAAGCCAAGAGCCAACTGCCTGCTGTCTTCAAGAGACCCATCTCACATGTAATGACACCCACAGGCTCAAAGTAAAAGGATGAAGAAATATTTACTAGGCAACCAGGAAACAAAAAAAAGGAAGGCATTCCTATTCTTATATCACATGAAACACACTTTAAATCAACAGCAATCAGGAAGGACAAAGAAGGGCATTACAAAATGATAAAGGGTTCAATTTGACAGAAGACTTAACTATTCTAAATATATATGCACCCAAATTTGGAGCACCCCGATTCATAAAACAAGTTATTCTTCACCTATGAAAAGAGTTAGACAGCCACACAATAATAGTAAGGGACTTCAGTATCCCACTAACAACGTCAGATGAATCACTAAAACAGAAAACTAACAAAGAAATTCTGGTCTTAAAGACAACACTTGACCAATTGGACCTCATAGACATCTACAGAGTACTCCACCCAACAACTGCAGAATATAGATTCTTCTTATCTGCACACACAAAAAACATATCATATTCTAAGACTGGCCACAAAGCAAGTCTCAATAAATTCAAAGAATCAAAATCATAACAAGGCACACAATAAAAATAGAAAAAAATACCAAGATGATCTCTCAAAACTACAGAAAAACATGGAAATTTAACAACTTGTTTCTGAATGAATATTAAGAGCCATCTATGACAAATCCACAGCCAACATCATATTGAATGGTCAAAAGCTGGAACTGTACCCCTTGAGAACTCTTGGGTGAACAATGAAATTAAAGCAGAAATCACAAAACATTATTTAAAATTAATAAAAATAGAAACAAACTTACCAAAACCTTTGGGATGCAGTTAAAGCAGTGATAAGAGGAAAATTTATAGCAATACATGCCTCATCAGAAGTTTAGAAAGATCTCAAATTAGTGACTTAACACTGCATCTAGAGGAACTATTAAAAAAAAGGAACAGTCCAAACCCAAGGCCAGCAAAAGATGAGAAATAACTAAAGTCAGAGAGAACTGAATAAATTGAGACCAAAAAGTCCATACAAGAGATAAATAAAACCAAGAGTTTTTCTTTGAAAAAAAATAAACAAAATTCATAGACTGTTAGCTAGATTAACAAAGAAAAAGAGAAAAGATCCAAATAAACACAAATAGAACTGACAAAACAATGTTACGAACAATCCCACAGAAATAGAAAAGATCGTCAAAGACTATTATGAACACCTCTATACAAACAAGCTAGAAAACCTAGAAGAAATGGATAAATTCCTGGTAACACAAAATTTATCATATTTCAACCAGGAAGAAAGTGAAAACCTGAACAGACCAATAACAAGTTCAGAAATTTAATCAGTAATAAAAACCCTACTAACTAAAAATAGCCCAGGACCAGATGGATTCACAGCCAAAATCCAACAGCCATACAAAGAAGAACTGATACCGATCTTACTGAAACTTTTGGAAAAAATCAAGGAGTGGGGGCTTCTTCCTAACTCATTCTATGAAGCCATCATCACCATGATACCAACATCTGTCAGAGACATAATGAAAAAAAGAAAACTACAACTAAATATCCTTAATGAACATAGACATAAAATCCTCAACAAAATGCTAGCAAATTGAATCTGTCAGTGCATCAAAAGTTAATTCACATGATCAAGTAAGCTTTATTTTTGGGATGCAAGGTTGGTTCAACCTACAAAGTCAACGAATGTGATTCACCTCATAAACATAATTAAAAACAAAAACTATATGATCATCTCAATAGATGCAGAAAAAGCTTTCTGTAAAATCCAACATCCCTTCATGATAAAAACTGTCAATAGGCATCAAAGGAACATACCTCAAAATATTAAGAGCCATCTATGACAAACCCACAGCCAACATCATATTGATGGGCAAAAGCTGGAACCATACCCCTTGAGAACCGAAACAAGACCAGGATGACCACTCCCGCCATTTTAATTCAACATGGTACTGGAAGTCCTAGCCAAAGCAATCAGGCAAGAGAAGGAAATAAAAGGCATTAAAATTGGAAAAGAAGTAGTGATACTGTCTCTCTTTGCTGATGAAATAATTTTATACATAGAAAACCCTAAAGACTCTGTCAGAAGGCTCCTGAAACTGATAAACAAATTCAATAAAGTTTCGGGATTAAAAAAATGTACACAAATTAGTAACATTTCTATGCACCACTAACATTCTAGCTGAGAACTAAATCAAGAACACAATTCCATTTACACTAGCCACAAAGAAAATAAAATACCTAGGAATCCATCTAACCAAGAAGGTGAAAATTCTCTACAAGGAGAACTACAAAACACTTCTGAAAGAAATAAGAAATGATACAAACAAATGGAAGAATATTCCATGCTCATGAATTAGGAGAACAAATAGTTAAAATCGCCATACTTCCAAAAACAAATTGCAGACTCAATGCTATCCATTTCAAAATGCAATGTCATTTTTCACGAAATTATAAAAATTTATTCTAAAATGTATTTGGCACCAAAAAAAGAGCCTGAATACACATAGGAATCCTAAGCACAAAGAACAAAGCCCAGGCATCACATTACCCAACTTCAAACTATACTACAATGCTATAGTAACCCAAACAGCATGATACTACTACAAAAACAGACACATAGACCAATGAGACAGAATAGAGAACCCAGAAATGAGGCTACATACCTACAATCATCTTTGAAAAAATTGACAAAAACAAGCAATGTGGAAAGTACCCTTTCTTCAATAAATAGTTCTGGGATAACTGACTACTCATATGCAAAATAATAGAACTGGACCCCTAACTCTCACTATATACAAAAATTAACCCAAGATAGTTTAAAGATTTAAATGTAAAACCTCAAAATATTAAAATTCTAGAAGAAAACCTAGGAAATATCCTTCTCAAGATAGACTTTGGCAAAGAATTTATGGCTAACTCCCCAAAACCAATTGTGACAAAGACAGAAATTGGGACCTAACTCAACTGAAGAGCTTCTGCACAGCAAACGAAAGTATCAACAGAGTAAACAGATAACCTACAGACTGGGAGAAAATATTTGCAAACTATGCATCTGACAAAGTTCTAATATCCAGAATCTATAAGGAATGTAAACAAATCAACAAGCAGAAAACCAAAAAACCTCAATTAAGTATGACATGAACAGACACTTCTCAAAAGAAGATGTACACATGGCCAAAAAACATATGAACAAATGCTTATTATCAGTAATCATCAGAGAAATGCAAATTAAAACCACAGTGAGATACCATCTCACAACAATCAGAGAAGCAGAAGCAATTACTAAAAAGTTTTTTGTTTTTTTTAATAACAGATGCTGACAAGATTGTGGAGAAAAGGGAACACTTATACACTCTTGGTGGGAATGTTAACTAGTTCAGCCAATGTGATAAGCAGTTTGGAGACTTCTCAAATAACTTAAAATAGAACTACTATTCAATCAAGCAATCCCACTACTGGGTATATACCAAAAGGAAGGTAATTAACTATGTCAAAAAGACACATGCACTAGTATATTCATTGCTGTGCAATTCAGAATAGCAAAGATTTGCAGTCAACCTAAGTGCTCACCAACAGTGGATTAGTTAAAGAAAATGTGCTACATATACACATGGAACATTACATGGCCATAAAAAATAATGAAATCATGTCCTTTGCAGCAACATGAATGTAGCAGGAGGTCAATCTCCTAAGTGAACTAACCCAGGAACAGAAAACCAAATACCACATGTTATCACTTATAACTGAGAACCAAACATTGAATACACATGAACATAAAGATGGAAACAACAGATACCGAGGACTACAGATGGGGGGAGGAGTAGGGAGGTATAGGCTGAAGAAACACCTGTTGGATTCTATGCTCATTGCCTGGGTGATGGCATTGTTGGAACCACAAACCTCAGAGTCACACAATATGCCTATGTAACAAACCTGCATGCATACCTTTAATCTACAGTAAAGGTTGAAGTTATTTAAAAATAGGAAGAAGAATTACCCTATACCTAAAGCTAAGATTTTTCCCTTTGAATATTCGTTTCTTCATCACTGTAGATAAGCAGGGAAAGAAAAATTATTATACTATACTAGCCTTTTATGTGACCATGAGGATTTGGGGTAGGTAGGTGGACAGCTTAGATAATTCACCAGGATATTGATACAGGCTCCATGGCTGGAAATAACCAAGGATGAGTGCTGTGTTTTGAGTGGTCTCCCCCAGAAACGTTTGTTGAAATCCTAACCCCTGGTATGTATGAATGTGAATTCATATTATATAAAAAGGAATAAATAGCCTGAGCACAGTGGCTCACACCTGTAATCCCAGCACTTTGGGAGGCCAAAGCAGGTGGATCATTTGAGGTCAGGAGTTCTGGCCAATATGGCAAAACTTCATCTCTACAAAAAAAAAATACAAAAAAAAAAATTGGCTGGGTATGGTGGCGCATGCCTGTAGTCCCAGCTACTCAGGAGGCTGAGGCAGGAATTGCTGAAACCTGGAAGGCAGAGGTTGCAGTGAGCCAAGATCATGCCACTGCACTCCAGCCTGGGTGAGACGGCAAGATATTCTGTCAAAAATAAATAAATAAAAAACAGAAGAAGAAATACAAGAATGACAGCAAACTTTGTATTCAAAACTATGAAAGTAAGAAATAGGTGGACCAACATTTTTAAAGTGCTACAAGAAAATATTTCAAACTAGAATCTTTCAACCTGAAAAGGAAAACATTTTCCTGCAATAAAGGTGCCATTAAAAATGTCTCACAATTTATTACATGAAGCATTGTTCTACAATAAATGTTAAGCTCTTGAAGCAAAGATTAATGATACCATTTAGTAACTTGAAATTCAAAAAAGTGGAAGTATCCCAAGAGGCAAATACGTGTGCAATTATTAAATGTTTCATATCAACACCCAACCTTATGCTGTCTACATAAGCTGCACTTCAAATACTAATCCACAAGATGTAAATATTGAAAGAATGACATTACATTGTCATGATAATGCCCAGTGCAAAATATGCTTCTAGTCAGTTGTATACATAGAATAGGTAAATGTTTGTAATAAAAAGTATTCCTCAATAGAAGTTTCTTAACTCAAAGAATGAAATATTTCACCATGCACATACAAAGAAGAGATATATGGAGATATGAAGAGGAGTACTTCATAATGACAAAGAGGCAAATTCATAAATAAGACATAATAATCCTAAATGCCTACACACCTAAAGCTGGAACCTCAAAACACATTAAATTAAAGGCATAATTCAAAACATAATCAATCACATCCAAATTGCAGCTAGAGATAGCAACATTCACCTCACTTCCAGAACAAGTACACAGAAAATTATTAAGCATATGAAAGACTTGAAAAACATTTGTGTAGGCGGCGGGTGCATAAGGTTGGGTGTTGATATGAAACATTTAATAATTTCAATAATCCTAGCACTTTGGGAGGCCAAAATGGGAGGATCACTTGAGGCCAGGAGTTTGAGACCAGCCTGGGCACCATAGTGAGACCCCGTCTCTATTTTTTTTAAATAAAGAAAAACATTTGAATGATTTTTTTCTTAACTGACATTTAGAAAACATCCACCTCAAATCTTCCTAATCCACAAACTTGTCTAGCACCCCTGGAACATTCACCAAAATAAATTTTTAAATGCTGAATCATAGGTAATATGATAGATGAAACAGTTGAATTAAATTATAAATGTACAACAAGGAAATGCTGGGGAAATTATCAAATATTTTAAAATTAATAAACACACATAGCAATAAACAATGAGTGGAAGAAAAACATTTCAAAGAAAGGTGGAAAATATTTTGTATCAATTAAAAATGAAAACACATCTCGGCAAATGACTGGGGATACAGATAGAACAGTGTTAAAGGAAAATAAGCCTCAAATGTCTGTGTTAGAAAAGAAGGAAGAGCTGAGTAAATAGGTAACTTTCGCTTGCAGAAATACTACACATCAGCAAATTAATTCCAAAGTAACGTCGAGGAAAAACATAAAATGGCAAGCAAATATATACGTGCATATGTACGTATATTCATAAATGACAAACAGGACAGAAAAATCAGTGACATCAATTTTGTTCCTTAGAAGAAACAGGAAAATTGACCCCAAAAAACTTTCCAGGCCACATTTGGTCATGATGGAAATATTTTGGCACTTCCTGGTTAAGCTCAACACCAACTTGCACCCAAAACCAATAATTTCATTCCTAGGTAAATATGTCTAATTAATTCAGCATATGTATGCAAGGGATCACACAGAAACACGATTATCAAGGCCCGAGTTATAAAAGAGAAAATCCGGAAACAACACAAATGTCCATGATAAAAAGAGTGGATAATTACATGTTGATAAAGTTATGTATGGACTATTAAACTGCAATCCAAAAGAATAAAATAGAACTATAAAATTCAATATGTATATGGTGTCATAGAAACACAAATGTGAGAAAAAGAAAGAAAAATACAAAATTTATATTTTTTAAAATTTGAAACAACTATATATGTGAGTGCTTAGGGTGTGTGTGTGTGTGTGTGTGTATAACCATATGTATATAAACGCACACATACGCACACATATAGAATGTCCCGGCCAGGCATGGTGGCTCACACCTGTAATCTCAGCACTTTGGGAGGCTGAAGTAGACAGATCACTTGAGGTTAGGAGTTCAAGACCAGCCTGGCCAACATGGAGAAACCTCCTCTCTACTAAAAGTACAAAAATTAGGTGGGCGTGATGGTGGGTGCCTGTAAATCCAGCTACTTAGGAGGCTGAGGCACGAGAATTGCGTGAACCTGGGAGGTGGAGGCTGCAATGAGCCGAGGTCTCACCACTGCATTCCAAACTGGGTGACGAAGTGAGATTGCGTCTCAAAAAAAAAAAAAGTTCTAAAAGTTGTGACTTGGGTGTGGCAGATTGTGACATACTGCCAGCTGCTAGAAATGCTGGGGCAGGAGGATTGCTTGAACTCTGAAGTCAAAGAACAGCCTGGGGAAAATAGCACATGAAGAAGAGTTTGAATCTCAGATAAAAACAAAAATACATCAAAAATCTTTAATGTAAGCACAGAATTCAATCATCTCGTGTATGAGAGGTTGGATCTGAGACGTCTTTTGAGTCTGGTCGTAGTGAAGGACGCAAGGTGTCAATTCTAGTGAGAACAATTTCCAGGAAGCCATGTTCCGCTCTTGAGCGAGCACCCACTGGGCCTCATGCAAGGTAGAAAGAGCCTGCGTACGTCACCCTCCCATGATGTGGTCAACATGTAAACTGCATGGGCAGGGCGCCAAATAACATCCTGTGCGCTGCTGAGCTGAGCTGGGGCGCGGCCGCCTGTCTGCACAGACAGCACCATGTCGCTCATGGTCGTCAGCATGGCGTGTGTTGGTGAGTCCTGGAAGGGAATCGAGGGAGGGAGTGCGGGGATGGAGATCGGGGCCCAGAGTTGGAGATATAGGCCTGGAAGTGGAGTTATGGGCCTAGAGATGGAGTGATGGGCCTAGAAGTGGAGATCTGGGCCTGGAGTGGAGATATGGGCCTGGAGGTTGAGATATGGGCCTGCAGTAGAGATATGGGCTTGTAGTGGAGACATGGGCCTGGAGATGGAGATATGGGCCTGGAGATGGAGATATGGGCCTGCAGTAGAGATATGGGCCTGGAGTGGAGATATGGGCCTGGAGTGGAGATATGGATCTGGAGGTGGAGATACGGGCCTGCAGTAGAGATATGGGCCTGGAGTGGAGATATGGGCCAGGAGTGGAGTTATGGGCCTAGAGGTGGATATCTGGGCCTGGAGTGGAGATATGGGCCTAGGAAGGAGATATGGGCCTGGGTGTGGAGATATGGGACTGGAGAGGTGATATGGGCCTGGAGTGGAGATATGGGCTTAGGGTGGAGATCTGGGCCTGGGGCAGAGATATGGGACTGGATTGGAGATATGGGCCTAGGGTGGAAATATCAGCCTGGAGTGGAGATATGGGCTTGTGGTGGGGATCTGGGCCTGGAAACTGGGTCTCTGCACAGCCGACAGCCCTGTTCTTGGGTGCAGGTAGGCACTGAGGGTGAGTTTAACTTCAGCCCAGGAAGGGCCTGGCTGCCAAGACTCACAGCCCAGTGGGGGCAGCAAGGGAGTCCTGGTTTGCCTGCAGATGGATGGTCCATCATGATCTTTCTTTCCAGGGTTCTTCTTGCTGCAGGGGGCCTGGCCACATGAGGGTGAGTCCTTCTCCAAACCTTCGGTTGTCATCTCCCCACATAAGAGGATTTTCCTGAAACAGGAGGGAAGTCCTGTCAGGGAGTCTCTCATAAACTGGGAAGAGAGGACCCTGGGGTGCTCGGCCCACATTTCTGACCTTGCCTCCCTGGCCTCTCAACCCCTTGGCAGAGTCAAGTTCTGTGGGGACCAGGGTTAGACTGGGGTGCTCAAAGCTGGGGTGTGTGGTGGGGAAGTGGTAGGAACAGCAGATCCTCTGAGGACAAAGGTGTTACTCACACACTTCAGCGTTTCCATGATGGTAGGGGCTGCAGTGTGGCTGCTGTCATTCTACCAGAAGAGGTGGGAAACCACAGCCATGGCCCTGACATTCCAAATCCTCTGATGGGGGCTCAGTTGTTTATTTTCGTTCAGGCATCCGCTGATATCCACTCACAAAGGACATGCCCTCCACCTCATGTCTACCCTGTGTTGTTTTATGTGAGTAATCTTACAGTATTAAAATCTAGTAGGAGTCTCTTTACTCAGCACTTGCTCAAAGTTCTCAGCTGAGGCTTTTGTTGTAGGGAGACACCATGTCTTTGCGGGATGGGTCCTTCCTTCAGCCCTGGGCACCAAGGTGTGATAGTAGCCATAGAAACGTGGAAAGCGAGGAGAATCTTCTGAGCACAGGGAGGGAGGGGCAGTTCCACATCCTCCTCTCTAAGGCGGCGCCTCCTTCTCCCCAAGGTGGTCAGGACAAGCCCTTGCTGTCTGCCTGGCCCAGCCTTGTGGTGCCTCTAGGACATGTCATTCTTCGGTGTCACTCTTATCTTGGGTTTAACAACTTCAGTCTGTACAAGGAAGGTGGGGTGCCTGTCCCTGAGCTCTACAACAGAATATTCTGGAACAGCCTTTTCATGGGCCCTGTGACCCCCGCACAACAGGGACATACAGATGTCGGGGTTCACACACACACTCCCCCAGTGGGTGGTCAGCACCCAGCAACCCCCTGGTGATCGTGGTCATAGGTCAGAGGGCTCCTGTCTTGGATTCTCCTTGTCCCACCTCCTGAATCCCAGAGCTTCTGGTGGGCATGTCCTTGAGGGTCCCATCACGCAGGCCCTGACTGTATTTGTGGTAAAGGGGGATTGAATACAGGGAAATGGGTGCTGTGGTGGGAAGAATAATTGTCCCCAGTGATGACTACATTCTAATCCCTGGAGTCTGTGACTATGTATGTTATAGGGGAAGGGACTGAAGGGGAAGATGGAGCTCATGGGGAGACAGCCTGGACTGTCCCACTGGGCTCAGTGTAATCACAAGGGTGCACATGAAAGGAGGAGGAAGAGGGGAGTGGGGATTAGAGCAGTCCAGTGGAAGTCTTCACCAGCTTTGAAGGTGGAGGAAGGCCAAGAGCCATGAATGCAGGTGGCCTATAGAGGCTGGAAAAGTCAAGGAACTGATTCTCCAGAGTCTCCAGAGGAAACGAAGCCCTGCAGATGCCTTGATTTTAGCCCAGGAAAAATAGGGTCCAATTTCTGTCTCCAGTACTGGAAGGTGTCAGTGTGGTCTCTCCTGCTTCCATGCTTCTGATAATTTTGTACAGCAGCAACAGGAAACCAACACTGGAACCCAGGTCAAGGACAAGTTAAGAAACAACCCAAGGAAAGCCAGGCATGGTGGCAGGCGCATGTAATCCTAGCGACTCAGGAGGCTGAGGGCAGGAGAATCACTTGAACCCAGGAAACAGAGGTTGCAGTGAGCCTAGACCACACCACTTCACTCCAGCCTGGGTGAAGGAGTGAGACTCTGTCTCCAAAATTAATTAATTAATTAAAGAAACCAAACAAGGAGAAGGTTGGCTACCCTGAGATCAGCAAGGGTGGGATGATGATGCCACCACCAGGCTCCATCCACATAGGGAGGGGTTGATACTCCTCCAACCAGCACCAGGAGCCAGCCTATGGAAGCTGGCACCATGGAGAAGGCACAGGCATGGCAAGAGTGGCTCCCAGTCCCGACCAGGAACAGGGTGTGTGGACACTGGTGCCTGCCTTATTCATCAGTTCATACCTTCTGCCAAGGATTGCAATTCATCCAAAAGAGATTGAACAAGGCTGATAAGAGCCTGGATGTGCAGCCTATCCTGGTTCCTCTTTCACCCCCACATAAACAGCAGGAAAGACGTTAGTGTGAAATAGATACAACACCCCAAGAGATGAGGCTAAGCCCAGTGGGAAGGGAATCAGAGGCTACTAGAGACAGAGGGACAGAGAAGAGGGAGGGAGACAGATGGAAGGACCTGCACCAGGAGTTATGGGCACAGAAAAGAACATGAAGACACAGAGAGGAAGGAGAGAGACAGACACCAGCAAGGGGAAGCCTCACTCATTCTAGGTGCCATGGATGGGATGATAAAGAGAGACACCTTCTAAACTCACAACCTCTCTTCTTAGGAGTCCACAGAAAACCTTCCCTCCTGGCCCACCCAGGTCCCCTGGTGAAATCAGAAGAGACAGTCATCCTGCAATGTTGGTCAGATGTCAGGTTTGAGCACTTCCTTCTGCACAGAGAGGGGAAGTATAAGGACACTTTGCACCTCATTGGAGAGCACCATGATGGGGTCTCCAAGGCCAACTTCTCCATCGGTCCCATGATGCAAGACCTTGCAGGGACCTACAGATGCTACGGTTCTGTTACTCACTCCCCCTATCAGTTGTCAGCTCCCAGTGACCCTCTGGACATCGTCATCACAGGTGAGAGTGTCCGGACATTCTCATTGTCATTGGGCTGCAGAGTGAATGATCCACGACTTGGAACCCCCAGGTAGTTGTAAGGAAGATGAGCTTGGTATTCTTATGGAGAGAGACTGACTTGCTGAGGTTTGTACCAACAGAGACAGAGAAACAGGAGACACAAGTACAGACCAGGTGTCATAACGGAGGACAGACACAGGGGCCATACAGGGAGTTAGAAAAGACAGAAAGAGTTAAAGGAGACAGACAGACAGACATGTCCCAGAGAGAGGTGTCCCTCCATGCTGACTTTGCTCACAGACCTGGCACAGGATAGAAGTTTCATTTCTGTTTTACCTCCACAAAGTGTTCTCTACCAGGAGAACCCAAGGACACCCATATTTCTGACCTGAGTTGGGCCCTGTGGCCTCAGGCCTTGTGGCACCTACAGGCCATGTTTATTCTGACACCTCTGCCTTCCATGTAATGGAGAGTAACCGTCCCAGGATATCATGGCCCCAGAACACCAACCCCTGTATGCTGTGTGAACTTGTGGTCTCCAGACTGGATTCTGAGGCTCACATTCCAAATAACCCCACATATGAAAGGATCACTGAGAGGCACAGAGAGAAATCAGGAACACCAAAAAGCAAAGACATAAACACACAGAGAATGGGCCAGAGGAAGGAGATTGAGAGACTCACTGACACATAAAGAGAGAGAAAAGAGGGCAGAGGAGTGGTGAGAATGATGGAAGGGAGCAGAGAAAAGCACTAAAATTAGAGTCCTGAGGGAGAGGCACAAGGACATAGAAAGATGGAGATGTGGGGATGAACTGCAGAGATTCCAAAGAGAACTAGAGAGACCGAGAGGCAGAGCAAGACAGATGATAGATGGATAGATATAGATAGATGATAAATAGGTAGATGATAGATAATAGGTTAAAGATACATAGATGATGATTGATTGATTCATTAATAGATAATACATAGAGATGATGATGATGAAGACAGATAGATAATACGTACAGATAGAGAGGCAGACAGAAATCATAGAGAGAGAGATGATACATACATATAAATAACAGATGATTGATGGATAGATAGACAACTGATAGATACATAGATGATATATAGATATAGATGACAGGTAGAGAATTTGTAGATAGGCACCGAATAGATAAATAGATAGATCGACAGATAATAGATAGAAATATGCAGAAAGTTATGAACAGGACACAACGTGAGAAACTTAGAATTTAAAAAAGTAACATCAAGTCAACCAATCCAAGGAGAGTCAGAGAGAATAAAAGAATCCAAAAAGGGAAAACATATCTAGAGGTGGGGAAGCGAGGTCAGAGACCTAGAGAGACAGAGAAGGTGGAAGGAGGAAATAGACATGAAGAGAGATGGGGTGGAGGGTGAGAGAGAGAGAGAGAGAGCATTAGGTCATAGAGCAGGGGAGTGAGTTCTCAGCTCAGGTGAAGGGAGCTGTGACAAGGAAGATCCTCCCTGAGGAAAATGCCTCTTCTCCTTCCAGGTCTATATGAGAAACCTTCTCTCTCAGCCCAGCCGGGCCCCACGGTTTTGGCAGGAGAGAGCGTGACCTTGTCCTGCAGCTCCCGGAGCTCCTATGACATGTACCATCTATCCAGGGAGGGGGAGGCCCATGAACGTAGGTTCTCTGCAGGGCCCAAGGTCAACGGAACATTCCAGGCCGACTTTCCTCTGGGCCCTGCCACCCACGGAGGAACCTACAGATGCTTCGGCTCTTTCCGTGACTCTCCCTATGAGTGGTCAAACTCGAGTGACCCACTGCTTGTTTCTGTCACAGGTGAGGAAACCCCATATCTGTCTCATGTCCTATGATCCTAGAGCCTTAGCTGAGGAGCTTCCTGCTGATGATGGAGAGAAGCATGGACAGATGCAGAGAGAAGACGAAGCTTGGGTGTGAGGGAGGGATCAGGGCACAGGATGGCAGACAGGGCACCTCCAAACCCTCCTACACGGCCTGCATGAAGGCCCGCGGCCAGGGCTCCAGGCACACAGGCAGATGGAGAAAACGGTCAGGAGAGACCCAGAGGAGAGAGACTGGGCTCAGTTTGGGAAGATCAGAGGTTCCCTCAGCCCCTCAACATTATCCATTTCCCAGAAGCCCATCCTGGCCTCTCACCCACACAGGGATGTCATCACCAGCAACCCCTACACCCTTTACTTTTGTTTGAAGAAATATTTATTGAGGATAAATATACCTATATAGCTTACCACCTTTAACATTTTTTTTTTTTTTGAGGCAGAGTCTAGCTCTGTCCCCTATGCTGGAGTGCAGTGGCACAATCTCAGCTCACTGCAATTTCCGCCTCCTGGGTTCAAGCGATTCTCTTGCCTCAGCCACCTGAGTAGCTGGTGCTACAGGCGCGCACCACCACGCCAGGCTACTTTTTGTATTTTTAGTAGAGAGGTGGTTTCACCATGTTGGTCGAGCTGGTCTCCAACTCCTGACCACGTGATCCACCCGCATGTGCCTCCCAAAGTGCTGGGATTACAGGCATGAGCCACCACGCCCAGCCACATTTACCATTTTTAAGTGTAAAGTCTAGTGGTCATAAATACATTTATATATATATATATTTTTTTTTTTTTTTTACCCTCCACCCTTTTCTTCCTGGCCTCTGGAAGCCATCATTCTACTCTCTACCTTCATGAGATCCACCTTTTAGCTCTGTATATGGGTGAGAAATGGGAATCTTTGTAATGACTTCCAGTTCCATCCATGTGGCTGCAAATATCAGGATGTTATTCTTTCTATGGATGAGTAGTCTCCACTGTGCGTATGTACTACATTCTCTCTATCCATTCATCCACTGATGGGCAGGTAGGTTGACTCCACATCTTGGCTACTGTGAACAGTGCTGCACCAATCATACGAGTGCAGATATCACTTCGATATATTGATTTACTTTCCTTTGGATATAAACCCAGTAGTGAAATTGCTGGATACTATGAAAGTTCTCTTTTTAGTTTTTCGTTTGTTGTTTTGTTTTTGTTTTTGAGACAGTTTCCCTCTGTGCCCAGGCTGGAGTACAAGTGATGTCATCTTGGCTCATTGCAACCTCTGCCTCCTGGGTTCAAATGATTTTCCTGCCTCAGCCTCCCTAGTAGCTGGGATTACAGGTGCACGCCACCATGCCTGGCTACTTTTTGTTTTTTTTAGTATAGATGGGGTTTCCCCATGTTGGCTGGGCTGCTCTCAAACTCATGACCTCAACTGAGATGCCCGCCTCAGTCTCCCAAAGTGCTGGGATTACAGGCCTGATCCACCACACCCAACCTCTTTTTAGTTCTTTAAAGGACTTCCATACTTTTCTCCGTAATCGCTGTACTAATTTACACTCCTCCCAACAGGGTACCAGGGTTCTCCTTTCTCTACCACCTTGCCAGCATTTCTTTTGCCTGTCTTGCAGCTAAAAGCCATTTTATTTTATTTCATTTTATTTTGAATGGAGTTTTGCTCTTCTCACCCAGGCAGGAGTGCAGTGGCGCTATCTCGGCTCACCACAACCTCCACCTCCCAGGTTCAAGCGATTCTCCTGCCTCAGCCTCCCGAGTAGCTGGAATTACAGGCACACTCCACCACGCCCGACTAATTTTTGTATTTTTAGTAGAGACAGTGTTTCTCTATGTGGGTCAGACTGGTCTCAAACTCCTGACCTTATGAGATTCACCCACCTCAGGCTCTCAAAGTTCTAGGATGACAGACGTGAGCCACCACGCCCGGCCTAAAAGCCATTTTAATGGGGTGAGATGAAAACTCACTTTGATTTTAATTTGCGTTTCTCTGATGATGAGTGATACTGAGCACTTTTTAGTATGTGGGGAAATTTCATGTCTTCTGCTCCTTTTTCAATTAAATCATTTGTTTTATTGAGTTGTTTGAGCTTCTTATATTTCTAGTTATTAATCCCATCTCAGATGCATAGTTTGCACATATTTGCTCCCAATCTGTGGGTTGTCTCTTCACTTTGTTGGTTTATTTTTAGCAGTGCAGAAGTTGCTTAGTTTGAGGTAATCCCAATGGTCTATTTTTGCTTCGATTACTTGTGTTTTCAAGGTTTAAAACAAAATGTCTTTCTTCAGACAAATGTCCTGGAGCATTTCCCCAATATTTTGTTCTACGTGTTTCATAGGTTCAGGCCTTAGACTCACATCTTTAATCCATTTTCATTTGATTTTTGTGTATGGTGACAGGTAGAGGTGCAGTTTCATTCCTCTGCATGTCGATGTCCAGGTTTCCCTGCACTGTTTATTGAAAAGACTGTCCTTTCCTGATTGTGAGTTCTTGGCACCTTTGTCAAAGTCCATTGGATGGGCTGGGCTTGGTGGCTGACACCTGCAATTTCAGCACTTTGGGAGGCCGAGGCGGGTGGATTACCTGAGGCCAGGAGTTCAAGATCAGTCTGGACGACGTGATGAAACATCGTCTCCACTAAAAATATAAAAATTAGCTGAGCATGGTGGTCAGCACCTGTAATACCACTACTCAGGAGTTTGAGGCAAGAGAATGATTGAACCCAGGAGGCTGAGGTTGCAGTGAACTGAGATTGCACCTCTGCACTCCAGCCTGAGTGACAGAGCAAGACTCCATCTCAAAAGAAAAAATAAAAAACCATTGGATGTAAATGCATGGAATATATCTGTGTTATTCATTCTGCTCCGTTGTTCTATGTCCCTTTCTTTATGCCAATGTCATGCTGTTTTGCTTACTACAGCTCTGTAACATATTTTGAGATCAGGTAGTGTGATGCTCCTGTTTTCTCTTTATACCTTGAAGTCTCAAGACAGTGGGCGTCACATAAAAAAATTATGGAAAAAAGGATCCCAGGACTCCCAGGGCCCAATATTAGATAACAGAGTGTTGGCCATGAACCATCCTCAAAGATTTCCACTGAGTAGAGGACAGACACCCTCATTTCCTCACCTCTCTCCTGTCTCATGTTCTAGGAAACCCTTCAAATAGTTGGCCTTCACCCACTGAACCAAGCTCCAAAACCGGTGAGTACAGAACCCTCTTATATCCGCTTTTGGAAACCTGGGGAGGTGGAAACCTTGGATTCAGGCGTTGACTCAGCATCTCACAGCTCTGACATTGTACCCCTGTCTTCCACCATCTCCGAACTCCAGATACTCCTACAGCAAAAGGGATCTGGGTCCAACACAGGGCTCAGTGAAATCTCTTCATCTCTCATTTTATGGAGCTGAGACTTCCTACAAGCTAGAAGAATGATTGCCAATCTGACATCCTTCTCAGGAAAAATGCAATGTTTGTTCTGCCTGCATTCCTAACTGGAGGATAAATTCCTGGAGACTTGAGAGAGGGAAGGGAAGGGAACATCTGATGAGGGCGAGGTGTTTTAGAGAAGTTCCACTTGCCAAGGAATGAGCTCCTATAGGTCATGAAGCAACCCTGGCTGACTCAGCAGAGAAAGAGCCTTGCTGTAACAGAGAACAGAGCTCATGCACGCACACTTCGACTCACTGACTCATTCAGCCACGGCCCCATGCTCAGGCTGTGCACTGTGGAAGCTTTTCCTATTGTTGCCATAACAAATTTCCACAAGATTCGTGGGTGAAAACAAAACGGTTTTTTAATTATCTTACAGTGCTGTAGCTCAAAGTATGAAGTGCATCTCACTGGGCTAAAATCAAGGTGACAGCAAGGCTGCCTTCCCTCTGAGGATTCCAGGCAAGAATCTGCTTCTCACTTTTCTCAGCTTCTAGAGGCTCCCACATTCCTTCGCTCCTGGTCCCCTTCCTCCTTCCTCAAAGCCCACAAAGACTGGTCACATCTCACATGGCATCACTCAGACCCTTCTTCCTTACCACACCTCTTTCTCTGAATGCTGCTCTCCCTTCTTCCTCATCTTTTGAAAACTTGGGGATTCTATTGGGTTCACCAAGATGAAAATCCATCATAATCTCCCGGAAATCATTCAGGATACCCTTGTTTTAAGTTCAGCTGATTAGCAACCATAATTCCATCTGCAATCTTCATTCCTCCTTTCCATGTAAAATAAGATATTCACAAGCTATGGAGGCTAGGACAGGGACATTTTGGGGTGGGACAGCATTCTCCTGCCTTCCACAAACAGTGAACAAGATGCATTTGGCCTCTGCTCTTTGGACACTGATATTGCAGATGGTTAAATGGGAGGGCAGAAAATGAATGCACAAGTGGACCAATAAATGAATGATCCATTGGGAAGCATCTGTGTATGAAATCTATTTGTTTGTTTCTTCATTTGTTTATTGAGACAGAGTCTCCCTCTGTCTTCCAGGCTACAGTGCAGTGTCACCATCTTGGCTCACTGCAACCTGCACCTTCTGGATCCAAGTGATTCTCCTGCGTCAGCCTCTCAAGTAGCTGGGATTACAGGCAACTGCCACCATGCCCGGCTAATTCTTTTTGTATATTTTTTGTAGAGGATGTTTCACCATCTTCGCCAAGCTTCTCTGAAACTCCCAACCTCAAGTGATCCGACCGTCTCAGCATCCTAAAGTACTGGGATAACTGGCGTGAGCCACTGTGCCCAGCCAGAATTTAAAATAAATAATACATAATGCTGAGTGTATGATTTTGGGTGACAGAGAAGATCTCACTAATCAGATATTTGTGACATTAATGAAAAACACGGATTGAACCCCTGAAAGATTGGCGGAAGGATTTTCCACACACAGCTGTCAGCCGTGAAGGCAGAAAGCTGAAAACAATCTGATGTGGAAGGAAGAGGCTCTGCCTCAAATGCTGGGAATGAGGTGGGGAGAATGACAAGACGACTGTGGAGAGACGGAGAGCACACTGGGTACACAGGAAACTAAGGAGCAACAAGGAGTGTGTGTTTGACACTCACAGCCATTGGATTCACCTCGGGGTAGCCAGGAATCCCTACATGATTAATAGTGACTGACATGAAAATAAGGGAGGCCCAGGTGCATAACTGGAATCTAGGAGACTGTGGAAAAGGCAATTCCCGCCCCACTGGTGAAATGTGGTGCTGATTTAGACCCTAACTGGGTGAAGCAGATGGATATAAGCTATGCTTGTGAGGTGGAATCATTGGCTGGAAAGGCTTGCTGGGTATGATTTTCCTAGTTGTCTAATCCTCGCTTAATTTCTTTCTGAGCTTTATTCCTACTACACATAAATCAATACCTGGCAAAGGAGTGACAGATATATGAGGGGTGGTGGAAATGAAGGGACCTATTATAGCATAATATACAAGTCTGTGAACGGTGGCTCACGCCTGTAACCCAGCACTGCAGGAGGCCAAGGCGGGTGGATCACATGAAGTCAGCAGTTCGAGACCAGCCTGGCCAACATGGTGAAACCCTGTCTCTAGGAAAAACACAAAAATTAGCCGAGCATGGTGGTGCATCCCTGTAATCCCAGCTCCTACTCTGGAGGATGAAGCAGGAGAATGACTTCAACCCAGGAGGTGGAGGTTGCAGTGAGTGGAGATTGCATCACTGCACTCCAGCCTGGGTGACACAAGGAGACTCCGTCTCAAAAAATAAAAATAAGAAATGCATAAATATAAATATAATATAACACATGCAAATGAGAAAGGGACCTGAATTCCAATCATGATTTTTCTATTTCTCTATAATTACTTCTTTGATCCTTTATCTTATCCATTAGGCAATGAGCCTAAAACCTCTTCCCTATTTGGCTTTCTGTGAGCATGAGATCATATAGAAAATGTGAAAGCCCGCTGAATCCTCCAGCACAGATCCTGGAATACACAAAGTGCTCTGTTCATCACAAGAAAACATGCCCTCTCACCCAAATCCCCCACCTCACCCCTACTTCCAATCATCTGTGGAGATTCAGATAGGCCATGGGGAGGTAAATTCTAATACTCCTTGGAGTGAGTCCAGATCTTGGAATCAGAGATTAGCGTCAGCAGTAGCTCCTGCTCCCCTTTCCTACTAATTCACAGGAGGACAGGTGGTATTGAAGCAATAGATGGCCGAGGGGGTGGTCCTTCCCCCAGCCTCTCGGGTAGAACAGCAACCTAACATGTGTCTCCTGAGATCACAAAGAGTAGCACGTTTCACATGGGCTTCAACACTGTTTCCTGGCCATTTGACATAAGAGAATTCTACTTCGCTTTTTTTATCTTGATTTCACTTTTGTTTCCTTTTCTTGGAGAATGCAAGTTGTTTGACTCAAGAATGCCGTGGATGTAGAAATCCTAAAGCACAGTCGCTGTGTATCAATCCCAGTGCAGTCTTCCCAGAGAAGACTCTAAACACCTCCTGGACTGCACCTGGGCCTATGCCAATTCCTATCACTCACCGTCACTCCAGGGAGACAGAACACACAGAGAATACATTACACAGGCAGGTTCATTACTAACAGATAAGCAGCGAGTGACAACAGAAGCCTACATTTCAATGTGAGCCAGTCCCTCAAGGCTCAGAAAAGCTGCTCGGGACATATGGAGTCACCCCATTTGCAGTGTAGCTGGGGGAAGCCAGAAAGCAGCCCAGCCTGGGTTTTGTACCCTGGAGCCACAGGAAGCACTCAGCTAAAGCACTGCATGACGCCTTCCTCCAGGAAGAACAGGAAGACAGCCCAGGCTGTTCTGAGACATTCCTCCTGATCTCAGGTCGTTGCTGTCTTAGTTTTTTTTTTTGTTGCTCTGAAGGAACACTTGAGCCTCGGTAACTTCTAAAGAAAAGAGATCGGTTTGCCTCACAGTTCTGCAGGCTGTACTGGAAGCATGGCACCAGAATCTATTTCTCGTGATGGCCTCAGGCTGCTCCCACTCTGGCAGAAGGGAAGGAGGGTCTGTCTGTGCAGAGACCACAGAGATCACACGGCAAGAGAGAGAGTAAGGGGGAGAGGGAGCAATGGAGCTTCCAAGCTCTTTTTAACAACCAGCTGTCCAGGAACTAACAGAGGGGGAACTTGCTAACCCCGTCTCCTTGGGACAGCATTGATCTGTTCATGATGGATCCACCTCCATGACCCAAACACCTCTGAAGAGGCCCAACCTCCCACAATGGGGGTGAAATTTCAATGTGAGGTTTGAAGGGGTCAAACATCTCAACTAAAGTAGTTGTATCCTCAGCACGTTCTATGGTTACTATGAGAGCTATAATTGAGAAAGCAGGGGAAAGCTAGGTCTCCCGCCATTTGGGTGCTTGTCCTAAAGAGACGTTGTATGTGGTTACCTGCCAATCAAGAAATGCGAGACAATTCATAAAGAGGAACTGCTATGATTAGCTTCTTATTGGTGTCTCCTCTTCTTCCAGGTAACCCCAGACACCTGCATGTTCTGATTGGGACCTCAGTGGTCAAAATCCCTTTCACCATCCTCCTCTTCTTTCTCCTTCATCGCTGGTGCTCCAACAAAAAAAGTAAGTCTCACGAAGCAGAGGCCAGAGAGCTCAGGGCCATGTGGGGAAGCAGGATGGGAGCACTCAGGTGTGTGTTCCTCACCAGCAGGATGGTCCCTGGCCCAAGACAGGAGCCACAGAGGCAGGACTTTCTAGAGAGAGCACCAGATTCCCTTCCCCTGCCTTCAGCTCACAGACCGTTGCCTGATTCTGAACTGTACCCTCACGTCCCCTGCAGCCACTCACATCCAGGAGAAGGTTCCATGACAGGCAGAAAGTGGGAGATAGAATCAATGGGATGGGAACTCAGAGCTATTCATGGGATGGGTCCTTGAACTCAGAGAGATAGAATGTCTGAGTCTGCTGTTGGCAACTGAGGGACCTCAGGCACCTATGGCCTCCCCCTGTTTGTTGGTATCTGCTTATGAAATGAGGACCCAGAAGTGCCCTCCGAGCTCTTTTGTTGACTTCCGTCTTCTACAGATGCTGCTGTAATGGACCAAGAGCCTGCAGGGAACAGAACAGTGAACAGCGAGGTAGGTGCTCCTCGGCCCAGCCTCGTGGCTAGTCTTATTCCCAAAGAGTCCTGAAAAATGTGAGCACCCTCCCTCACTCAGCATTTCCCTCTCTCCAGGATTCTGATGAACAAGACCATCAGGAGGTGTCATACGCATAATTGGATCACTGTGTTTTCACACAGAGAGAAATCACTCGCCCTTCTGAGAGGCCCAAGACACCCCCAACAGATACCAGCATGTACATAGAACTTCCAAATGCTGAGCCCAGATCCAAAGTTGTCTTCTGTCCACGAGCACCACAGTCAGGCCTTGAGGGGATCTTCTAGGGAGACAACAGCCCTGTCTCAAAACCGGGTTGCCAGCTCCCATGTACCAGCAGCTGGAATCTGAAGGCATCAGTCTCATCTTAGGGCATCGCTCTTCCTCACACCACGAATCTGAACAGTATGCCTCTCTCTTGCTTACAAATGTCTAAGGTCCCCACTGCCTGCTGGAGAGAAAACACACTCCTTTGCTTAGCCCACAATTCTCCATTTCACTTGACCCCTGCCCACCTCTCCAACCTAACTAGCTTACTTCCTAGTCTACCTGAGGCTGCAATCACACTGAGGAACTCACAATTCCAAACATACAAGAGGCTCCCTCTTAACACAGCACTTAGACACGTGCTGTTCCACCTCCCTTCAGACTATCTTTCAGCCTTCTGCCAGCAGTAAAACTTATAAATTTTTTAAATAATTTCAATGTAGTTTTCCCGCCTTCAAATAAACATGTCTGCCCTCATGGTTTCGGTAACGAGACTCTTCTCTTGCCTAAGGCTTCCGGTGTTATCATTACCATGTCCACATAACCCCATCTGTTCTCCATTGGGTTCTCAGCCCTGGACTCTGAGCTTCTGGAAGCAGAATGGAGCCTGAATTGTCTCTGAGACTCCAATTTCCATCCAAAGATACAGCACATAGGAGGCTCCAAGGATCGTGAATCACATGAACAAGTGATATTCTTACTCTCTGCAGACCTGGAAAGCTGGCAGAGTCATTCCACGATGAAACATTTGTAGAGTCATAGGCCTTGTTAGTCTCATCTCCACGGGGACACATATCAACATATCATCTTTCATAATATAAATATACAGTCGGTCCTCCATATCTGTGGGGTTTACAGGTGTTTATTGAACCAACAATAAATCAAAAATATTTTGAGAAAAAAATCCCCGAAGTTTCAAGAAGCAAAAAACTATGTTGAATCGACACAAATTGAGTGGCGTGTAGGCTGTGTCAGGAATTATAAGTAATCAAGAGATGATTTCATGTATACAGGAGGATGTGCATGGGTTCTATGCAATTGCTATGCTATTTTTTTTTTTTGAGACAGTCTCACTCTCTCACCCAGGCTGGAGTGCAGTGGCGTGATCTCAACTCACTGCAACCTCCGCCTCCCAGGTTCAAGCGATTGTCTTCCCTCAGCCTCCCCAGTAGCCTCCCCTAGGATTACAGGCACGTGCCACCATGCACAGATAAATTTTTTTGTGTGTGTATTTTTAGTAGAGACGGGGTTTCAGAATGTTGGACCAGCTGGTCTTGAACTCCTGACCTTGTGATCTACCCAGCTCAGCCTCCCAAAGTGCTGGGATTACGGGCGTGAGCCACGGTGCCCAGCTTCACTATGCCATTTCATGCAAGGGGCTTGAGCATCTGCAGATTTTGGTATCTGAATGGGGATCCTGGAACCAATCACCCAGGTATAGTGAAGGACCATGGTATATAATTTTTATTTGTCAATCTTAAAAATAAAGCATAAAAAATTTACAACAACAAGATAAAAAATAAGAAGTGTTTTTATAGTGTGAGGATAAGTTTAGATTTATTTTTTCCTACGTGTAACCCTATGGTCCTGTGTTATTTGTTGAGAAAATATTCTATTCCACCTTAAACTACATGGCAGCCTTTGTCAACTATAAAGGGACTGTGTATCCACAGATGTATTTTAGACACAGTTTTCTGTCCAGTGGTTCTCTGTATCCCCTCTCATGAGGATGCTGCATTTTATATAAACTTATAGAACCCCTTAAAATTTGGTAACCTGAGTCCTCTGATTTGTTATTATAGGTTATTTAGTTTGCTTTTTTTTTTTTCTTGAGACAGACTCTTCCTCTGTCACCCAAGCTGGAGTTCAGTGGCTTGAGCTCAGCTCACTGCAACCTCCGCCTCCCAGGTTCAAGCTATTCTGATGCCTCTGGTTTAGTACTAGAAACTCAAGCAGGAAAATTAGAATGGCTTCTTGTCACAATTACTCTGATAATGTTAATAATACCTGTTAGACATTTTGCACATTACATATGAAGAAGAGTTTGAATCTCAGATAAAAACAAAAATACATCAAAAATCTTTAATGTAAGCACAGAATTCAATCATCTCGTGTATGAGAGGTTGGATCTGAGACGTCTTTTGAGTCTGGTCGTAGTGAAGGACGCAAGGTGTCAATTCTAGTGAGAACAATTTCCAGGAAGCCATGTTCCGCTCTTGAGCGAGCACCCACTGGGCCTCATGCAAGGTAGAAAGAGCCTGCGTACGTCACCCTCCCATGATGTGGTCAACATGTAAACTGCATGGGCAGGGCGCCAAATAACATCCTGTGCGCTGCTGAGCTGAGCTGGGGCGCGGCCGCCTGTCTGCACAGACAGCACCATGTCGCTCATGGTCGTCAGCATGGCGTGTGTTGGTGAGTCCTGGAAGGGAATCGAGGGAGGGAGTGCGGGGATGGAGATCGGGGCCCAGAGTTGGAGATATAGGCCTGGAAGTGGAGTTATGGGCCTAGAGATGGAGTGATGGGCCTAGAAGTGGAGATCTGGGCCTGGAGTGGAGATATGGGCCTGGAGGTTGAGATATGGGCCTGCAGTAGAGATATGGGCTTGTAGTGGAGACATGGGCCTGGAGATGGAGATATGGGCCTGGAGATGGAGATATGGGCCTGCAGTAGAGATAGGGGCCTGGAGTGGAGATATGGGCCTGGAGTGGAGATATGGGCCTGAAGTGGAGATATGGGCCTGGAGGTGGAGATATGGGCCTGGAGGTGGAGATATGGGCCTGGAGTGGAGATATGGGTCTGGAGGTGGAGATACGGGCCTGCAGTAGAGATATGGGCCTGGAGTGGAGATATGGGCCAGGAGTGGAGTTATGGGCCTAGAGGTGGATATCTGGGCCTGGAGTGGAGATATGGGCCTAGGAAGGAGATATGGGCCTGGGTGTGGAGATATGGGACTGGAGAGGTGATATGGGCCTGGAGTGGAGATATGGGCTTAGGGTGGAGTTCTGGGCCTGGGGCGGAGATATGGGACTGGATTGGAGATAGGGGCCTAGGGTGGAGATCTGAGCCTGGATTGGCGATATGGGCCTAGGGTGGAAATATCAGCCTGGAGTGGAGATATGGGCTTGGGGTGGGGATATGGGCCTGGAAACTGGGTCTCTGCACAGCCGACAGCCCTGTTCTTGGGTGCAGGTAGGCACTGAGGGTGAGTTTAACTTCAGCCCAGGAAGGGCCTGGCTGCCAAGACTCACAGCCCAGTGGGGGCAGCAAGGGAGGGCTGGTTCGCCTGCAGATGGATCGTCCATCATGATCTTTCTTTCCAGGGTTCTTCTTGCTGCAGGGGGCCTGGCCACATGAGGGTGAGTCCTTCTCCAAACCTTCGGGTGTCATCTCCCCACATAAGAGGATTTTCCTGAAACAGGAGGGAAGTCCTGTCGGGGAGTCTCTCATAAACTAGGAAGAGAGGACCCTGGGGTGCTCAGCCCACATTTCTGACCTCGCCTCCCTGGCCTCTCAACCCCTTGGCAGAGTCAAGTTCTGTGGGGACCAGGGTTAGACTGGGGTGCTCAAAGCTGGGGTGTGTGGTTGGGAAGTGGTAGGAACAGCAGATCCTCTGAGGACAAAGGTGTTACTCACACACTTCAGCGTTTCCATGATGGTAGGGGCTGCAGTGTGGCTGCTGTCATTCTACCAGAAGAGGTGGGAAACCACAGCCATGGCCCTGACATTCCAAATCCTCTGATGGGGGCTCAGTTGTTTATTTTCGTTCAGGCATCCGCTGATATCCATTCACAAAGGACATGCCCTCCACCTCATGTCTACCCTGTGTTGTTTTATGTGAGTAATCTTACAGTATCAAAATCTAGTAGGAGTCTCTTTACTCAGCACTTGCTCAAAGTTCTCAGCTGAGGCTTTTGTTGTAGGGAGACACCATGTCTTTGCGGGATGGGTCCTTCCTTCAGCCCTGGGCACCAAGGTGTGATAGTAGCCATAGAAACGTGGAAAGCGAGGAGAATCTTCTGAGCACAGGGAGGGAGGGGCAGTTCCACATCCTCCTCTCTAAGGCGGCGCCTCCTTCTCCCCAAGGTGGTCAGGACAAGCCCTTGCTGTCTGCCTGGCCCAGCCTTGTGGTGCCTCTAGGACATGTCATTCTTCGGTGTCACTCTTATCTTGGGTTTAACAACTTCAGTCTGTACAAGGAAGGTGGGGTGCCTGTCCCTGAGCTCTACAACAGAATATTCTGGAACAGCCTTTTCATGGGCCCTGTGACCCCCGCACAACAGGGACATACAGATGTCGGGGTTCACACACACACTCCCCCAGTGGGTGGTCAGCACCCAGCAACCCCCTGGTGATCGTGGTCATAGGTCAGAGGGCTCCTGTCTTGGATTCTCCTTGTCCCACCTCCTGAATCCCAGAGCTTCTGGTGGGCATGTCCTTGAGGGTCCCATCACGCAGGCCCTGACTGTATTTGTGGTAAAGGGGGATTGAATACAGGGAAATGGGTGCTGTGGTGGGAAGAATAATTGTCCCCAGTGATGACTACATTCTAATCCCTGGAGTCTGTGACTATGTATGTTATAGGGGAAGGGACTGAAGGGGAAGATGGAGCTCATGGGGAGACAGCCTGGACTGTCCCACTGGGCTCAGTGTAATCACAAGGGTGCACATGAAAGGAGGAGGAAGAGGGGAGTGGGGATTAGAGCAGTCCAGTGGAAGTCTTCACCAGCTTTGAAGGTGGAGGAAGGCCAAGAGCCATGAATGCAGGTGGCCTATAGAGGCTGGAAAAGTCAAGGAACTGATTCTCCAGAGTCTCCAGAGGGAACAAAGCCCTGCAGATGCCTTGATTTTAGCCCAGGAAAAATAGGGTCCAATTTCTGTCTCCAGTACTGGAAGGTGTCAGTGTGGTCTCTCCTGCTTCCATGCTTCTGATAATTTTGTACAGCAGCAACAGGAAACCAACACTGGAACCCAGGTCAAGGACAAGTTAAGAAACAACCCAAGGAAAGCCAGGCATGGTGGCAGGCGCATGTAATCCTAGCGACTCAGGAGGCTGAGGGCAGGAGAATCACTTGAACCCAGGAAACAGAGGTTGCAGTGAGCCTAGACCACACCACTTCACTCCAGCCTGGGTGAAGGAGTGAGACTCTGTCTCCAAAATTAATTAATTAATTAAAGAAACCAAAGAAGGAGAAGGTTGGCTACCCTGAGATCAGCAAGGGTGGGATGATGATGCCACCACCAGGCTCCATCCACATAGGGAGGGGTTGATACTCCTCCAACCAGCACCAGGAGCCAGCCTATGGAAGCTGGCACCATGGAGAAGGCACAGGCATGGCAAGAGTGGCTCCCAGTCCCCACCAGGAACAGGGTGTGTGGACACTGGTGCCTGCCTTATTCATCAGTTCATATCTTCTGCCAAGGATTGCAATTCATCCAAAAGAGATTGAACCAGGCTGATAAGAGCCTGGATGTGCAGCCTATCCTGGTTCCTCTTTCACCCCCACATAAACAGCAGGAAAGACATTAGTGTGAAATAGATACAACACCCCAAGAGATGAGGCTAAGCCCAGTGGGAAGGGAATCAGAGGCTACTAGAGACAGAGGGACAGAGAAGAGGGAGGGAGACAGATGGAAGGACCTGCACCAGGAGTTAAGGGCACAGAAAAGAACATGAAGACACAGAGAGGAAGGAGAGAGACAGACACCAGCAAGGGGAAGCCTCACTCATTCTAGGTGCCATGGATGGGATGATAAAGAGAGACACCTTCTAAACTCACAACCTCTCTTCCTAGGAGTCCACAGAAAACCTTCCCTCCTGGCCCACCCAGGTCGCCTGGTGAAATCAGAAGAGACAGTCATCCTGCAATGTTGGTCAGATGTCAGGTTTGAGCACTTCCTTCTGCACAGAGAAGGGAAGTTTAAGGACACTTTGCACCTCATTGGAGAGCACCATGATGGGGTCTCCAAAGCCAACTTCTCCATCGGTCCCATGATGCAAGACCTTGCAGGGACCTACAGATGCTACGGTTCTGTTACTCACTCCCCCTATCAGTTGTCAGCTCCCAGTGACCCTCTGGACATCGTCATCACAGGTGAGAGTGTCCGGACATTCTCATTGTCATTGGGCTGCAGAGTGAATGATCCACGACTTGGAACCCCCAGGTAGTTGTAAGGAAGATGAGCTTGGTATTCTTATGGAGAGAGACTGACTTGCTGAGGTTTGTACCAACAGAGACAGAGAAACAGGAGACACAAGTACAGACCAGGTGTCATAACGGAGGACAGACACAGGGGCCATACAGGGAGTTAGAAAAGACAGAAAGAGTTAAAAGAGACAGACAGACAGACATGTCCCAGAGAGAGGTGTCCCTCCATGCTGACTTTGCTCACAGACCTGGCACAGGTTAGAAGTTTCATTTCTGTTTTACCTCCACAAAGTGTTCTCTACCAGGAGAACCCAAGGACACCCATATTTCTGACCTGAGTTGGGCCCTGTGGCCTCAGGCCTTGTGGCACCTACAGGCCATGTTTATTCTGACACCTCTGCCTTCCATGTAATGGAGAGTAACCGTCCCAGGATATCATGGCCCCAGAACACCAACCCCTGTATGCTGTGTGAACTTGTGGTCTCCAGACTGGATTCTGAGGCTCACATTCCAAATAACCCCACATATGAAAGGATCACTGAGAGGCACAGAGAAAAATCAGGAACACCAAAAAGCAAAGACATAAACACACGGAGAATGAGCCAGAGGAAGGAGATTGAGAGACTCACAGACACATAAAGAGAGAGAAAAGAGGGCAGAGGAGTGGTGAGAATGATGGCAGGGAGCAGAGAAAAGCACTAAAATTAGAGTCCTGAGAGAGAGGCACAAGGACATAGAAACATGGAGATGTGGGGATGAATTGCAGAGATTCCAAAGAGAGCTAGAGAGACCGAGAGGCAGAGCAATACAGATGATAGATGGATAGATATAGATAGATGATAAATAGGTAGATGATAGATAATAGGTTAAAGATACATAGATGATGATTGATTGATTCATTAATAGATAATACATAGAGATGATGATGATGAAGACAGATAATACGTACAGATAGAGAGGCAGACAGAAATCATAGAGAGAGAGATGATACATACATATAAATAACAGATGATTGATGGATAGATAGACAACTGATAGATACATAGATGATATATAGATATAGATGACAGGTAGAGAATTTGTAGATAGGCACCGAATAGATAAATAGATAGATCGACAGATAATAGATAGAAATATGCAGAAAGTTATGAACAGGACACAACGTGAGAAACTTAGAATTTAAAAAAGTAACATCAAGTCAACCAACCCAAGGAGAGTCAGAGAGAATAAAACAATCCAAAAACGGAAAACATATCTAGAGGTGGGGAAGCGAGGTCAGAGACCTAGAGAGACAGAGAAGGTGGAAGAAGGAAATAGATATGAAGAGAGATGGGGTGGAGGGTGAGAGAGAGAGAGAGAGAGCATTAGGTCATAGAGCAGGGGAGTGAGTTCTCAGCTCAGGTGAAGGGAGCTGTGACAAGGAAGATCCTCCCTGAGGAAAATGCCTCTTCTCCTTCCAGGTCTATATGAGAAACCTTCTCTCTCAGCCCAGCCGGGCCCCACGGTTCTGGCAGGAGAGAGCGTGACCTTGTCCTGCAGCTCCCGGAGCTCCTATGACATGTACCATCTATCCAGGGAGGGGGAGGCCCATGAATGTAGGTTCTCTGCAGGGCCCAAGGTCAACGGAACATTCCAGGCCGACTTTCCTCTGGGCCCTGCCACCCACGGAGGAACCTACAGATGCTTCGGCTCTTTCCGTGACTCTCCATACGAGTGGTCAAACTCGAGTGACCCACTGCTTGTTTCTGTCATAGGTGAGGAAACCCCATATCTGTCTCATGTCCTATGATCCTAGAGCCTTAGCTGAGGAGCTTCCTGCTGATGATGGAGATAAGCATGGACAGATGCAGAGAGAAGACGAAGCTTGGGTGTGAGGGAGGGATCAGGGCACAGGATGGCAGACAGGGCACCTCCAAACCCTCCTACACGGCCTGCATGAAGGCCCGCGGCCAGGGCTCCAGGCACACAGGCAGATGGAGAAAGCGGTCAGGAGAGACCCAGAGGAGGGAGACTGGGCTCAGTTTGGGAAGATCAGAGGTTCCCTCAGCCCCTCAACATTACCCATTTCCCAGAAGCCCATCCTGGCCTCTCACCCACACAGGGATGTCATCACCAGCAACCCCTACACCCTTTACTTTTGTTTGAAGAAATATTTATTGAGGATAAATATACCTATATAGCTTACCACCTTTAACATTTTTTTTTTTTTTGAGGCAGAGTCTAGCTCTGTCCCCTATGCTGCAGTGCAGTGGCACAATCTCAGCTCACTGCAACTTCCGCCTCCTGGGTTCAAGTGATTCTCCTGCCTCAGCCACCTGAGTAGCTGGTGCTACAGGCGCGCACCACCACGCCAGGCTACTTTTTGTATTTTTAGTAGAGAGGTGGTTTCACCATGTTGGTCGAGCTGGTCTCCAACTCCTGACCACGTGATCCACCCGCATCTGCCTCCCAAAGTGCTGGGATTACAGGCATGAGCCACCACTCCCAGCCACATTTACCATTTTTAAGTGTAAAGTCTAGTGGTCATAAATACATTTATAAATATATATATATATATATGTATGTATATATATATATATATATATATATATATATATATTTTTTTTTTTTTTTTTACCCTCCACCCTTTTCTTCCTGGCCTCTGGAAGCCACCATTCTACTCTCTACCTTCATGAGATCCACCTTTTAGCTCTGTATATGGGTGAGAAATGGGAATCTTTGTAATGACTTGCAGTTCCATCCATGTGGCTGCAAATATCAGGATGTTATTCTTTCTATGGATGAGTAGTCTCCACTGTGCGTATGTACTACATTCTCTCTATCCATTCATCCACTGATGGGCAGGTAGGTTGACTCCACATCTTGGCTACTGTGAACAGTGCTGCACCAATCATACGAGTGCAGATATCACTTCGATATATTGATTTACTTTCCTTTGGATATAAACCCAGTAGTGAAATTGCTGGATACTATGAAAGTTCTCTTTTTAGTTATTCGTTTGTTGTTTTGTTTTTGTTTTTGAGACAGTTTCCCTCTGTGCCCAGGCTGGAGTACAAGTGATGTCATCTTGGCTCATTGCAACCTCTGCCTCCTGGGTTCAAATGATTTTCCTACCTCAGCCTCCCTAGTAGCTGGGATTACAGGTGCACGCCACCATGCCTGGCTACTTTTTGGTTTTTTTAGTATAGATGGGGTTTCCCCATGTTGGCTGGGCTGCTCTCAAACTCATGACCTCAACTGAGGTGTCCGCCTCGGTCTCCCAAAGTGCCGGGATTACAGGCATGATCCACCTCACCCAACCTCTTTTTAGTTCTTTAAAGGACTTCCACACTTTTCTCCGTAAAGGCTGTACTAATTTACACTCCTACCAACAGGGTATTAGGGTTCTCCTTTCTCTACCACTTTGGCAGGATTTCCTTTGCCTGTCTTGCAGCTAAAAGCCATTTTACTTTATTTCATTTTATTTTGAGATGGAGTTTCGCTCTTGTCACCCAGGCTGGAGTGCAGTGGTGCGATCTCGGCTCACCACAACCTCCACCTCCCAGGTTCAAGCGATTCTCCTGCCTCAGCCTCCCGAGTAGCTGGAATTACAGGCACACGCCACCACGCCCGACTAATTTTTGTATTTTTAGTAGAGACAGTGTTTCTCCATGTGGGTCAGACTGGTCTCAAACTCCCGACCTTATGAGATTCACCCACCTCAGGCTCTCAAAGATCTAGGATGACAGACGTGAGCCACCACGCCCGGCCTAAAAGCCATTTTAATGGGGTGAGATGAAAACTCACTTTGATTTTAATTTGCGTTTCTCTGATGATGAGTGATACTGAGCAGTTTTTCGTATGTGGGGAAATTTCATGTCTTTTGCTCCTGTTTCAATTAAATCATTTGTTTTATTGAGTTGTTTGAGCTTCTTATATTTCTAGTTATTAATCCCATCTCAGATGCATAGTTTGCACATATTTGCTCCCAATCTGTGGGTTGTCTCTTCACTTTGTTGGTTTATTTTTAGCGGTGCAGAAGTTGCTTAGCTTGAGGTAATCCCAATGGTCTATTTTTGCTTCGATTACTTGTGTTTTGAAGGTTTAAAACAAAATGTCTTCCTTCAGACAAATGTCCTGGAGCATTTCCCCAATATTTTCTTCTACGTGTTTCATAGGTTCAGGCCTTAGACTCACATCTTTAATCCATTTTCATTTGATTTTTGTGTATGGTGACAGGTAGAGGTGCAGTTTCATTCCTCTGCATGTAGATGTCCAGGTTTCCCTGCACTGTTTATTGAAAAGACTGTCCTTTCCTGATTGTGAGTTCTTGGCACCTTTGTCAAAGTCCATTGGATGGGCTGGGCATGGTGACTGACACCTGCAATTTCAGCACTTTGGGAGCCCAAGGCGGGTGGATCACCTGAGGCCAGGAGTTCAAGATTAGTCTGGCCGACGTGATGAAACATCGTCTCCACTAAAAATATATAAATTAGCTGAGCATGGTGGTCAGCACCTATAATACCACTACTCAGGAGTTTGAGGCCAGAGAATTGATTGAACCCAGGAGGCTGTGGTGGCAGTGAACCGAGATTGCACCTCTGCACTCCAGCCTGGGTGACAGAGCGAGACTCCATCTCAAAAGAAAAAAGAAAAAAACATTGGATGTAAATGCATGGATTATATTTGTGTTGTTCATTCTGCTCCATTGTTCTATGTGCCTTTCTTCATGCCAACATCATGCTGTCTTGCTTACTACAGCTCTGTAACATATTTTGAGATCAGGTAGTGTGATGCTCCTGTTTTCTCTTTATACCTTGAAGTCTCAAGACAATGGGCGTCACATACAAAAATTATGGAAAAAAGGATCCCAGGACTCCCAGGGCCCAATATTAGATAACAGAGTGTTGGCCATGAACCAACCTCAAAGATTTCCATTGAGTAGAGGACAGACACCCTCATTTCCTCACCTCTCTCCTGTCTCATGTTCTAGGAAACCCTTCAAATAGTTGGCCTTCACCCACTGAACCAAGCTCTAAAACCGGTGAGTACAGAACCCTCTTATATCCGCTTTTGGAAACCTGGGGAGGTAGAAACCTTCGATGCAGGCATTGACTCAGCATCTCGCAGCTCTGACATTGTACGCCTGTCTTCTACCATCTCCGAACTCCAGATACTCCAACAGCGAAAGGGATCTGGGCCCAACCTAGGGCTCAGTGAAATCTCTTAATCTCTCATTTTATGGAGCTGAGACCTCCTACAAGCTAGAAGAATGATTGCCAATCTGACATCCTTCTCAGGAAAAATGCAATGTTTGTTCTGCCTGCATTCCTAACTGGAGGATAAATTCCTGGGGGCTTGAGAGAGGGAAGGGAAGGGAACATCTGATGAGGGCGAGGTGTTTTAGAGAAGTTCCACTTGCCAAGGAATGAATTACTGTTGGTCATGAAGCAACCCTGGCTGACTCAGCAGAGCAACAGCCTTGCCGTAACAGAGAACGGAGCTCATGCACGCACACTTCGACTCACTGACTCATTCAGCCACGGCCCCATGCTCAGGCTGTGCAGTGCGGAACCTTTTCCTATTGTTGCCATAACAAATTTCCACAAGATTCGTGGGTGAAAACAAAACGGTTTTTTAATTATCTTACAGTGCTGTAGCTCAAAGTAGGAAGTGCATCTTACTGGGCTAAAATCAAGGTGACAGCAAGGCTGCCTTCCCTCTGAGGATTCCAGGCAAGAATCTGCTTCTCACTTGTCCCAGCTTCTAAAGGCTCCCAGTTCCTTGGCTCCTGGTCCCCTTCCTCCTTCCTCAAAACCCACAAAGACTGGTCACATCTCACATGGCATCACTCAGTGCCTTCTTCCTTACCACACCTCTTTCTCTGAATGCTGCTCTCCCTTCTTCCTTATCTTTTGAAAACTTGGGGATTCTATTGGGTTCACCAAGATGAAAATCCCTCATAATCTCCTGGAAATCATCCAGGATACCCTTGTTTTAAGTTCAGCTGATTAGCAACCGTAATTCCATCTACAATCTTCATTCCTCCTTTCCATGTAAAATAACATATTCACAAGGTATGGAGGCTAGGACAGGGACATTTTGGGGTGGGACAGCATTCTCCTGCCTTCCACAAACAGTGAACAAGATGCATTTGGCCTCTGCCCTTGGGACACTGATATTGCAGATGGTTAAATGGGAGGGCAGAAAATGAATGCACAAGTGGATCTATAAATGAATGATCCATTGGGAAGCATCTGTGCATGAAATCTATTTTTTGTTTGTTCTTTTGTTTATTGAGACAGAGTTGCCCTCTGTCTTCCAGGCTACAGTGCAGTGTCACGATCTTGGCTCACTGCAACCTGCTTCTCCTGGATTCAAGTGATTCTCCTGCCTCCGCCTCTCGAGTAGCTGGGATTACAGGCAACTGCCACCGTGCCCGGCTAATTCTTTTTGTATATTTTTTGTAGAGAGGATGTTTCACCACGTTGGCCAAGCTTGTCTGAAACTCCCAACCTCAAGTGATCCGACCGTCTCAGCATGCCAAAGTAATGGGACTACAGGCGTGAGCCACTGTGCCCAGCCAGAATTCAAAATCAATAATAGATAATGCTGAGTGTATGATTTCAGGTGACAAAGAAGGTCTCACTATTCAGATATTTGTGACATTAATGAAAAACACGGATTGAACCCCTGAAAGATTGGCGGAAGGATTTTGCACACACAGCTGTCAGCCGTGAAGGCACAAAGGTGAAAACAATCTGATGTGGAAGGAAGAGGCTCTTCCTCAAATGCTGGGAATGATGTGGGGAGAATGACAAGATGACTGTGGAGAGACGGAGAGCACACTGGGTACACAGGAAACTAAGGAGGAACAAGGAGTGTGTGTTTGACACTCACAGCCATTGGATTCACCTCGGGGTAGCCAGGAATCCCTACATGATTAATATGACTGACATGAAAATAAGGGAGGCTCAGTTGCATAACTGGAATCTAGGAGACCGTGGAAAAGGCAATTGCCGCCCCACTGGTGAAATGTGGTGCTGATTTAGACACTAAATGAATGAAGTAGATGGATATAAGATAGGTTTGTGAGGTAGAATCATTGACTGGAAAGGCTTGCTGGGTTTGATTTTCCTACTTGTTTAATCCTCGCTTAATTAATTTCTTTCTGAGATTTATTCATCCTACACATAAATCAATACCTGGCAAAGGAGTGACAGATATATGAGGGGTGGTGGAAATGAAGAGACCTATTATAGCATAATATACAAGTCTGTGAACGGTGGCTCACGCCTGTAACCCAGCACTGCAGGAGGCCAAGGCGGGTGGATCACATGAAGTCAGCAGTTCGAGACCAGCCTGGCCAACATGGTGAAACCCTGTCTCTAGGAAAAACACAAAAATTAGCCGAGCATGGTGGTGCATCCCTGTAATCCCAGCTCCTACTCTGGAGGATGAAGCAGGAGAATGACTTCAACCCAGGAGGTGGAGGTTGCAGTGAGTGGAGGTTGCATCACTGCACTCCAGCCTGGGTGGCACAAGGAGACTCCGTCTCAAAAAATAAAAATAAGAAATGCATAAATATAAATATAATATAACACACGCAAATGACAAAGGGACCTGAATTCCAATCATGATTTTTCTATTTCTCTATAATTACTTCTTTGATCCTTTATCTTATCCATTAGGCAATGAGCCTAAAACCTCTTCCCTATTTGGCTTTCTGTGAGCATGAGATCATATAGAAAATGTGAAAGTCCGCTGAATCCTCCAGCACAGATCCTGGAATAGAGAAAGTGCTCTGGTCATCACAAAAAAAACTTGCCCACTCACCCAAATCCCCCACCTCACCCCTACTTCCAATCACCTGTGGAGATTCAGGTAGACCATGGGGAGGTAAACATTAACACTCCTTGGAGTGAGTCCAGATCTTGGAATCAGAGATCAGCGACAGCACTAGCTCCTGCTCCCCTTTCCTACTAATTCACAGGAGGACAGGTGGTATTGAAGCAATAGATGGCCGAGGGGGTGGTCCTTCCCCCAGCCTCTCGGGTAGAACAGCAGCCTAATATGTGTCTCCCGAGATCACAAAGAGCAGCAGGTTTCACACGGGCTTCAACACTATTTCCTGGCCGTTTGACATAAGAGAATTCTATTTCGCTTTTTTTATCTTGATTTCACTTTTGTTTTCTTTCCTTGGAGAATGCAAGTTGTTTGATTCAAGAATGCTGTGGATGTAGAAACCCTAAAGCACATTCGCTGTGAATCAATCCCAGTCCAGTCTTCCCAGAGAAGACTCTAAACACCTCCTGGACTGCACCTGGGCCTATGCCAATTCCTATCACTCACCGTCACTCCAGGGAGACAGAACACACAGAGAATACGTTACATAGGCAGGTTCATTACTAACAGATAAGCAGCGAGTGACAACAGAAACCTATATTTCAATGTGAGCCAGTCCCTCAAGGCTCAGAAAAGCTCCTCGGGACATATGGAGTCACCCCATTTGCAGTGTAGCTGCGGGAAGCCAGAAAGCAGCCCAGCCTGGGTTTTGTACCCTGGAGCCACAGGAAGCACTCAGCTAAAGCACTGCATGACGTCCTCCAGGAAGAACAGGAAGACAGCCCAGGGTGTTCTGAGACGTTCCTCCTGATCTCAGGAAGTTGCTGTCTTAGGCCATTTTTGTTGCTCTAAAGGAACACTTGAGCCTCGGTAACTTCTAAAGAAAAGAGATTGGTTTGCCTCACCGTTCTGCAGGCTGTACTGGAAGCATGGCACCAGCATCTATTTCTCGTGACGGCCTCAGGCTGCTCCCACTCTGGCAGAAGGGAAGGAGGGTCTGTCTGTGCAGAGACCACAGAGATCACACGGCAAGAGAGGGAGCAAGGGGGAGGGGGAGTGATGGAGCTTCCAAGCTCTTTTTAACAACCAGCTCTCCGGGAACTAATAGAGGGGGAACTTGCTAACCCCGTCTCCTTGGGACAGCATTGATGTGTTCATGATGGATCCACCTCCATGACCCAAACACCTCTCAAGAGGCCCAACCTCCCACAGTGGGGGTGAAATTTCAATGTGAGGTTTGAAGGGGTCAAACATCTCAACTAAAGTAGTCGTATCCTCAGCACGTTCTATGGTTACTATGAGAGCTATAACTGAAAAAGCAGGAGAAAGCTGGGTCTCCTGCCATCTGGGTGCTTGTCCTAAAGAGATGTTTTATGTGGTTACCTGTCAATCAAGAAATGCGAGACAATTCATAAAGAGGAACTGCTAAGATTAGCTTCTTATTGGTGTCTCATCTTCTTCCAGGTAACCCCCGACACCTGCACATTCTGATTGGGACCTCAGTGGTCATCATCCTCTTCATCCTCCTCTTCTTTCTCCTTCATCGCTGGTGCTCCAACAAAAAAAGTAAGTCTCACGAAGCAGAGGCCAGAGAGCTCAGGGCCATGTGGGGAAGCAGGATGGGAGCACTCAGGTGTGTGTTCCTCACAAACAGGATGGTCCCTGGCCCAAGGCAGCAGCCACAGAGGCAGGACTTTCTAGAGAGGGCACCAGACTCCCTGCCCCTGCCTTCAACTCACAGACCGTTGCCTGATTCTGAACTGTATCCTCATGTCCCCTGCAGCCACTCACATCCAGGAGAAGGTTCCATGACAGGCAGAAAGTGGGAGACAGAATCAATGGGATGGGAACTCAGAGCTATTCATGGGATGGGTCCTTGAGCTCAGAGAGATAGAATGTCTGAGTCTGCTGTTGGCAACTGAGGGACCTCAGCCACCTATGGTCTCCCCCTGTATGTTGGTATCTGCTTATGAAATGAGGACCCAGAAGTGCCCTCCGAGCTGTTTTGTTGACTTCCGTCTCCTACAGATGCTGCGGTAATGGACCAAGAGTCTGCAGGGAACAGAACAGCGAATAGCGAGGTAGGTACTCCTCGGCCCGGGCTCGTGGCTACTGTTATTCCCAAAGAGTCCTGGAAAATGTGAGCACCCTCCCTCACTCAGCATTTCCCTCTCTCCAGGACTCTGATGAACAAGACCCTCAGGAGGTGACATACACACAGTTGAATCACTGCGTTTTCACACAGAGAAAAATCACTCGCCCTTCTCAGAGGCCCAAGACACCCCCAACAGATATCATCGTGTACGCGGAACTTCCAAATGCTGAGTCCAGATCCAAAGTTGTCTCCTGCCCATGAGCACCACAGTCAGGCCTTGAGGGCGTCTTCTAGGGAGACAACAGCCCTGTCTCAAAACCGGGTTGCCAGCTCCCATGTACCAGCAGCTGGAATCTGAAGGCATGAGTCTGCATCTTAGGGCATCGCTCTTCCTCACACCACAAATCTGAATGTGCCTCTCACTTGCTTACAAATGTCTAAGGTCCCCACTGCCTGCTGGAGAAAAAACACACTCCTTTGCTTAGCCCACAGTTCTCCATTTCACTTGACCCCTGCCCACCTCTCCAACCTAACTGGCTTACTTCCTAGTCTACTTGAGGCTGCAATCACACTGAGGAACTCACAATTCCAAACATACAAGAGGCTCCCTCTTAACGCAGCACTTAGACACGTGTTGTTCCACCTTCCCTCATGCTGTTCCACCTCCCCTCAGACTAGCTTTCAGTCTTCTGTCAGCAGTAAAACTTATATATTTTTTAAAATAACTTCAATGTAGTTTTCCATCCTTCAAATAAACATGTCTGCCCCCATGGTTTCGGTAATGGGACTCTTTTCTTGCCTAAGGCTTCCGGTGTTATCAGTACCATGTCCATATAATCCCATCTGTTCCCCACTGAGTTCTCATCCCCGGACTCTGAGTTTCTGGAAGCAGGGTGGAGCCTCATTTGTCTCTGAGACTCCAATTTCCATCCAAAGATGTAGCACATAGGAGGTTCCAAGGATCACGAATCATATGAACAAGTGATACTCTTACTCTCTGCAGACCTGGAAAGCTGGCAGAGTCATTCCACAATGAAACATTTGTAGAATCATAGGCCTTGTTAGTCTCATCTCCATGGGGACACATATCAACACATCATCTTTCATAATATAAATATACGGTCACTCCTCCATATCTGCGGGGTTTACAGGTGTTTATTGAACCAAGTATAAATCAAAAATATTGAGAGAAAGTATCCACAGAGTTTCAAAAAGCATAACTATGTTGAATGGACACAAATGAAGCTGTGTGTAGGCTGTATCAGGAATTATAAGTAATCTAGAGATGATTTCATGTATACAGGAGGATGTGCATAGGTTATTTGCAAACTCTGTGCCATTTCATATAAGAGGCTTGAGCATCTACAGATTTTGGTATCTGAGTGGAGATCTCAAAACCAATCACCCACGAATAGTGAAGGATGACCGTATATGACTTTTATTTCTCAAATTTAAATATAAATCATAAAAAATGTACAACTAGATAAAAACTAAGAAGTGTTTTTATAGTGTGAGTTAGATTTATTTTTTCCTAGGTGTAACCAATTGGTTTAATATTATTTATTGAGAAGACATTCTATGCCACCTTAAACCACACGGCAGCCTTTGTCAACTCTAAAGGGACTGTGTGTACATGGATGTATTTTAGACACTGTTTCTGCTAAGGGGCTCTCTGTGTCCACACTCTTGATGATGCTGCACTTTATGTAGCCTTATAGAACCCTTTAAATTTAGTAGCCAGAGCCCTCTAATTTGTTATTATAGGCTGTTTGCTTTTTTTTTCTTGAGGCGGAGTCTTGCTCTGTCGCCCAGGCTGGACTGCAGTGACACAATCTCAGCTCACTGCAACCTCCGCCTCCCAGGTTCAAGCGATTCTCGTGCCTCAGCCTCTTGAGCAGCTGGCGTTACAGGTGCCTGCCACCAGGCACGGCTAATTTTTGGATTTTTAACAGAGACACGGTTTCACTATATTGGCCAAGCTGCTCTCAAACTCCTTATCTCAGTTGATCCGCCCACCTCGGCTTCCCAACGTGCTGGGGAAAACTTGATTTTCTATAGCATTATGTTACTGGATATTTCTGTAAAATTTAAAACGAGGGAGGGAGAGAGACAGACAGAGAGCAAACTCCAGAGTTGGGACTCTGGAATCTTGGGTCATGAGACAAATTTTAGATTAAACTACAAAACTCCAGAATTTACAGGTGTGGTTTTTGCTGATAAAGTACAATTCTAAGATTGTAAATAATTGCATAATCCTTCCCTGGGAATTTAAATCATTTTAGCTGGTTCTGCTGTAATACTAGAAATACAAGCATGAAAAATTCTAATGGTTTATTAGTCACAATGACTCCGAAAACATTAATAATACCTATTAGATACTTTGCATATTACACAGGAAGAAGAGTTTGAATCTCAGATAAAAACAAAAAAAATACATGAAAAGTCTTTCATGTTAGCACAGATTTTAGGCATCTCGTGTTCGGATAAAAATACATGAAAAGTCTTTCACGTTAGCACAGATTTTAGGCATCTTGTGTTCGGGAGGTTGGATCTGAGACGTGTTGTGAGTTGGTCATAGTGAAGGACGTGAGGTGCCAATTCTAGTGAGAACAATTTCCAGGAAGCCGTGTTCCGCTCTTGAGCAAGCATCCACTGGGCCTCATGCAAGGTAGAAAGAGCCTGCGTACGTCACCCTCCCATGATGTAGTCAACATGTAAGCTGCATGGGCAGGGCGCCAAATAACATCCTGTGCGCTGCTGAGCTGAGCTGGGGCGCGGCTGCCTGTCTGCACCGGCAGCACCATGTCGCTCATGGTCGTCAGCATGGCGTGTGTTGGTGAGTCCTGGAAAGGAATAGAGGGAGGGAGCGCGGGGATGGAGATCTGGGCCCAGAGGTGGAGATATAGGCCTGGAGGTGGAGTTATGGGCCTGGAGTGGAGATCTGGGCCTGGAGTGGATATATGGGCCTGGAGATGGAGTGATGGGCCTAGAAGTGGAGATCTGGGTCTGGAGTGGAGATATGGGCCTGGAGGTGGAGATATGGGCCTGGAGTGGAGATCTGGGCCTGGAGTGGAGATAGGAACCTGGAGGGGAGATATGAGCCTGGAGTGAAGATATTGGCCTGGGATGGAGATATGGGCCTGGAGTGGAGACATGGGCCTGGAGGTGGAGATATGGGCCTGGAGGTGGAGACATGGGCCTAGAGGTGGATATCTGGGCCTGGAGTGGACATATGGGCCTAGGATGGAGATATGGGCCTGGGTGTGGAGATATGGGCTTGGGGTGGAGATATGGGCCTGGATTGGAGATATGGGTCTAGGGTGGAAATATTGGCCTGGAGTGGAGATATGGGCCTGGAGTGGAGATATGGGCTTGGGGTGGGGATAGGGGCCTGGGGTGCGGATATGGGCCTGCAGGCTGGGT
Organism: Homo sapiens; assembly: GCF_000001405.40. Classification (NCBI taxonomy): domain Eukaryota; kingdom Metazoa; phylum Chordata; class Mammalia; order Primates; family Hominidae; genus Homo; species Homo sapiens. Next base: position 59,417 of record NW_016107310.1, read on the forward strand.
CTCTACACAGCCGACAGCCCTGTTCTTGGGTGCAGGCTGGCACTGAGGGTGAGTTTCCCTTCAGCCCAGCAAGGGCCTGGCTACCAAGACTCACAGCCCAGTGGGGGCAGCAAGGGAGTCCTGGTTTGCCTGCAGATGGATGGTCCATCATGATCTTTCTTTCCAGGGTTCTTCTTGCTGCAGGGGGCCTGGACACATGAGGGTGAGTCCTTCTCCAAACCTTCGGGTGTCATCTCCCCACATAAGAGGATTTTCCTGAAACAGGAGGGAAGCCCGGTGGGGGATTTTCTTATAAACAAGGATGAGGAGACCCTGGGGTGCTCAGCCCACAGTTCCGACCTTGCCCTCCCCAGCCTTCCTTTCCCTTGGCTGAGTCAGGTTCTGTGGGAACCCGGGAGGGTAGACTGGGGTCCTCCAAGCTGGGCTGTGCGGCTGGGATGTGGTGTCACTGGCAGAGGAAGGGAGCAAAGCAGTGCTAGGAACAGCAGGCCTCTGAGGACAAAGGTGTAACTCACACCCTCCAGCGTTTCCATGACGGTAGGGGCTGCAGTGTGGCTGCTGTCATTCTACCTCAGAGGTGGGGGAACCCCAGCCAGGGCCCTGACCTTCCAAATCCTCTGTTGGGGGCTCAGTTGTGTATTCTGGTTCACACATTGGCTGATATTCCATTCACAAAGAACATGCCCTCGACCCCATGTCTATTTGTGTTGTTTTATGTGAGTAATCTTGCAGTATTAAAATCTAGTAGGAGTCCCTTACTCAGCACTTGCTCAAAGTTCTCAGCTGACACTTTTGTTGTAGAGAGACGCCAAGTCTATGCGGGGTGGGTCCTTCCCGTAGCCATGGGCACCCAAGTGTGGTAGGAGCCTTAGAAACGAGGAAAGTGGGGAGAATCTTCTGAGCACTGGCAGGGAGGGGCGGCTCCACATCCTCCTTTCTAAGGTGGCGCCTCCTTCTCCCCCAGGTGGACAGGACAAGCCCTTGCTGTCTGCCTGGCCCAGCGCTGTGGTGCCTCGAGGAGGACATGTGACTCTTCTGTGTCGCTCTCGTCTTGGGTTTACCATCTTCAGTCTGTACAAAGAAGATGGGGTGCCTGTCCCTGAGCTCTACAACAAAATATTCTGGAAGAGCATCCTCATGGGCCCTGTGACCCCTGCACACGCAGGGACCTACAGATGTCGGGGTTCACACCCGCGCTCCCCCATTGAGTGGTCGGCACCCAGCAACCCCCTGGTGATCGTGGTCACAGGTCAGAGGACTCATGTCTGGGCTTCTCCTTCTCCCACTTCCTGAATCCCAGAGCATCTGGTGGGGGTGTCCACCAGGGTCCAATCATCCAGGCCCTGACTGTATTTGGTGTCAATGGGGATTGAATACAGGGGAATGGGTGCTGTGGTGGAAAGAGTAACTGTCGGCAGCATGGCTATATTGTAATCCTTGGAGCCTGTGACTATTTATGTTATAGGACATGGGACTGAAGGGGAAGATGGAGTTCAGGTTGTTGATGAGTTGACCTTGAGATGGGGAGACGACCTGGACTCTCCCACTGGGCTCAGTGTAATCACAAGGGTCCACATGAGAGGAGGAGGAAGAGGAGAGTGGGGATTAGAGCAGCGTAGTGGGAGGGAGAGTCCACCAGCCACTGCGGGCTTTGAAAGTGGAGGAAGGCCAGAAGCCACGGAATGCAGGTGGCCTTTAGGGGCTGGAGAAGTCAATGGAACTGATTCTCCCGAGTCTCCAGAGGGAATGCAGCCCTGCAGATGCCTTGATTGTAGCCCAGGAAGAACAGGGTCTGATTTCTGTCAACAGAAGTGTTCTCTCCCGCCGCCGTGTTTGTGATAATTTTCTGCAGCAACAACAGGAAACAACACAGGAATCCAGGTCAAGGACAAGTTAAAAAACCAAACAAGAGGGTTGGCTACCCTAAGGTCAGCAAGGGTGCACTGCTGATGCCACCACCAGGCTGGAGCTGCATAGGGAGGGATCCACAGGGAGAGTCGGGGGTGGAGGGTGAGAGAGAGAGAGAGCATTAGGTCATAGAGCAGGGGAGTGAGTTCTCAGCTCAGGTGTGAGGGGAGCTGTGACAAGGAAGAACCTCCCTGAGGAAACTGCCTCTTCTTCCAGGTCTATTTGGGAAACCTTCACTCTCAGCCCAGCCGGGCCCCACGGTTCGCACAGGAGAGAACGTGACCTTGTCCTGCAGCTCCAGGAGCTCATTTGACATGTACCATCTATCCAGGGAGGGGAGGGCCCATGAACCTAGGCTCCCTGCAGTGCCCAGCGTCGATGGAACATTCCAGGCTGACTTTCCTCTGGGCCCTGCCACCCACGGAGGGACCTACACATGCTTCAGCTCTCTCCATGACTCACCCTATGAGTGGTCAGACCCGAGTGACCCACTGCTTGTTTCTGTCACAGGTGAGGAAAGCCCATGCCTGTCCCATGTCCTGTGATCCTAGAGCCTTAGCTGAGGAGCTTCCTGCTGATGATGGAGAGAAGCATGGACAGATGCAGAGAGAACACGCAGCATGGTGTGAGGGAGGGATCAGGGCACAGGATGGCAGACAGGGCACCTCCAAACCCTCCTGCACGGCCTGCATGGAGGCCCGCGGCCAGGGCTCCAGGCACCCAGGCAGATGGAGAAAGTGGTCAGGACAGACCCAGAGGAGGGAGACTCGGCTCAGTTTGGGGAGATCAGAGGCTCCTCAGACCCTCAACCTTACCCATTTCCCAGAAGCCCATACTGGCCTCTCACCCACACAGAGATGTCATCACCAGCAACCCCTACACCCTTTTCTTTCCGTTTGAAAAAACATTTATTGAGGTTAAATGTAACTATATAATTTGCCACCTTTACCATTTTTAAAAGTAAAATCTAGTGGTCATAAATTCCTTTATATGCAGGGTGCAGTGGCTCACAGTTATAATCTCGGTGCTTTGAGAGGCCAAGGAAGGTGGATCATTTAAGATCAGAGGCTCGAGATCAGCCTGGCCAACATGAGGGAAATTCATCTTTACTAAACAGACAAGAAAAATTGGCTGGGCATGCTGGCATGCACCTGTATTCCTAGCTACATGGGAGGCTGAGGCAGGAGAAGTACGTAAGCCCAGGAGGCAGAGGTTGCACTGAGCTGAGATCAGGCCACTGCACTGCAGCCTGGGAGACAGAGAGAGATTCTGTCTCTAAATAAATAAATACATCTATATTCTTTTTTATTGTTGTTGTTACACTCCACCCTTTACTTCCTGCCCTCTGGTAGCCACCATTCTACTCTCTACCTTCATGAGATCCACCTTTTAGCTCCTGTATATGGGTGAGAAATGGGAATCTTTGCAATGACCTCCAGTTCCATCCATGTGGCTGCAAATGTCAGGATGTTATTCTTTCTACGGATGAGTACTCTCCACTGTGTGTGTGTACTACATTCTCTCTATCCATTCACCCACTGACGGGCAGGTAAGTTGACTCCACATCTTGGCTACTGTGAACAGTGCTGCACCAATCGTATGAGTGCAGATATCACTTCGATACACTGATGTCCTTCCCTTTGGGTTTACACCCAGTAGTGGAATTGCTAGATCCTATCAACAGGGTACCAGGGTTCTCCTTTCTCTACCACCTTGCCAGCATTCATTTTGTCTGTGTTTCAGATAAAAGCCACTTTAATGGGATGAGATGATAGCTCACTGTGATTTCAATTGGCATGATTAGTGATACTGAGCACTTTTTCATGTACATGTTCGCCATTTGTACGTTTTGTTTGTTGAGAAATGTCTGTTCAGGTCTTTTACTAATTGTTAAATTAAATTCATTGTTTTATACCGTTGCTTGAGTTTTATGTATATTCTAGTTATTAATCCCCTCTCAGATGCATACTTCACAAATATTTTCTCCCAATTTGTCTCTTCTTCACTTTGTTGGTTGCTTCCTTTGCGGTGCAGAAGCTGCTTACTTTGATGTAATCCCGAAGGTCTATTATTTTGTTTTGATTTCTTGTGTTTTTGAGATTTCAAATAAAATGTCTTTCCTCAGACAAATGTCCTGGAGCATTTCCCCACTCTTTCCTTTTAGACGCTTAATGGTTTCAGGCCTTAAGTGTTTCTTCCATTTTCATTTGATTTCTGTGTATGGTGAGAGGTAGAGGTGCAGTTTCATCAACTGCATGTAGATACCAGTTTTCCCTGCTCCATTTATTGAAAAGACCGTCGTTTCCTGATTGCAGGTTCTTGGCACCTACAATCGTCAAAGTCCATTGGATGTGAATGCATGAATTATATCTGTGTTCTTCATTCTGCTCCATTGCTCTAAGGGCCTTTATGCCAATGTCATGCTGTTGTGCTTACTACAGCTTTGTAACATATTTTTAAGTCAGGGAGTGTGAGGCCTCCAGCACCTGTTTTGTCTTTATACCTCGAAATCTCAGGACACTGGGCATCATTTAACAATGATGATGGAGAAGGGGACGCCAGGACTCCTAGGGCCCAACATTAGATAACAGAGTGTTGGCCATGAACCAACCTCAAAGATTTCCTTTGAGTAGAAGACAGGCATCCTCATTTCCTCACCTCTCTCCTGTCCTGTGTTCTAGGAAACTCTTCAAGTAGTTCATCTTCACCCACTGAACCAAGCTCCAAAACTGGTGAGTAAAGATCCCTCTTATCTCTGCTTTTGGAAACCTGGGGAGGTTGGTATCTTGGATTCAAGCATTGGCTCAGCACCTCCCAGCTCTGTGATTGTGGGCCTGTCTTCTAACATCTCTGACCCCCAGACACTACAACAGCGAAGGGTATCTGAGGACAGCAAAGGGCTCAGTGAAGTCTCTTCATTTCAAATTTCTGCAGCTGAGACCTCCTCCAAGCTAGACGGACGAGTACAAATCTGACATCCTTCTCAGGGATAATGTGGTGTTTTTTCTGCCTGCATTCCAAATTGGAGGATAAATTCGAGGGGACTTGAGAGAGGGAGGGGAAGGGAACATCTGATGAGGGAAAGGTGATTTAGAGAAGTTCCACTTGCCAAGGAATGAGCCCCTGTTGGTCATGATGCGACCTTGGCTGAGTCAGCAGAGCAAGAGCCTTGCAGTAAGAAGGAACGTAGTTCATCCACGAATATGACACTTCCACTCACTCACTTATTCAGCCACTGCCCTGTGCTCTGACTGTACAGTGTGGAACCCTTTCCTGCTGTTGCCATAATAAATCTCCACAAACTTCATGGATGACAACAACACAGCTTTTAAAATTATCTTACAGTGTTATAGCTCAGAAATATGAAATGCATTTCACTGGGCTAAAATCAAGGTGACTGCGAGGCTGCCTTTTCTCTGAAGGTTCCAGGCGAGAATCGGCTTTTCACATTTCCCAGCTCCCAGAGGTTCCCACGTTCCTTGGCATCTGGTCCCCATCCTCCTTCCTCGAAGTCCACAAAAGCTCGTCACATCTCTCACGTGGCATCACTCAGATCCCTCTTCCTTACCTCACCTCTTTCTCTAAGTGTTGCTCTGACTTTTTCTTCCTCTTTTAAAGACTTTGGGATTCTATTGAGTTTACCAAGATAATCCATCACAATCTCCCTAAAATCACCCAAGATAACCTCTTTTTAAGTTCAGCTGATTAGCAACCATAATTCCATCTGCAATCTTTATTCCTCCTTTCATGTAAAATAACATATTCACAAGCTATGGAGGCTAGGACAGGGACATTTTGGGGGTGGGCCAGCATTCTCCTGCCTTCCACAAATGGTAAACACGATGCATTTGGCCTCTGCTCTTAGGACACTGACATTGCAGATGGGCAAATGGGAGGGCAGAATATGAATGCACAAGTGGACCAGTAATGATTGATCCATTGGGAAGCATCCGTGCATGAAATCTATTTACCTATTTATTTATCTATTTATCTATTTATGTATTTATTTATTTGCGGCGAAGTCATTCTCTGTCCCCGGGCTGGAGTGCAGTGGCATGACCTCAGCTCACCACAACCTCCGCCTCCCGGGTTCAGGCGATTCTCCTGCCTCAGCCTCCTGACTAGTTGTGATTCCAGTCCCCTCCACCACACCCAGCTAATTTTCTTTTATATTTTTTAGTAGAGATGGAGTTTCACCATGTTGCGCAGATTGTCTCCAACTCCCAACCTCAAGTGATCCGACCGTCTCAGCATCCCAAAATGCTGGGACTCAAGGCGTGAGCCACTGCGCCCAGCCGAAATTTAAAATAAATAATAAAGAATTCTAAGTGTATAATTTCAGGAGACAGAGAAAGTCTCACTAATCAGATAATATTTGTGACCATAATGAAAAAAAAAAGTAGATTCAACCCCTGGAAGATGGGCGGAAGGATTTTCCACACACAGCTGTCAGCCGTGAAGGCACAAATGTGAAAACAATCTGATGTGGAAGGAAGAGGCTCTGCATTCAAATGCTGGGAATGACGTGGGGAGAATGACAAGATGACTGTAGGGAGACGGAGAGCACACTGGGTACACAGGAAACTAAGGAGCAACAAGGAGCGTGTGTTTGACACTCACAGCCATTGGATTCACCTCGGGGTAACCAGGAATCCCTACATGATTAATATGACTGACATGAAAATAAGGGACGCCCAAGTGCGTAACTGGAATCTAGGAGACCGTGGAAAAGGCAATTCCCGCCCCACTGGTGAAATGTGGTGCTGATTTAGACACTAAATGAATGAAGTAGATGGGTATAAGATATGTCTGTGAGGTAGAATCATTTGTAGGGAGGTCTTGCTGGATTTGATAATGCCTACTTATTTAATTTTGAATATATTAATTTCTTTCTGAGATTTATTTTTCCTACATGTAAATCAATATCTGGCAGAGGAGTGATAGATAGATGAGGGGTGGTGCAAATGAAGGGACTTATTATAGCATAATATACAAGTCTGTGAATGGGAGCTTACGCCTGTAACCCAACACTTTGGGAGGCCAAGGCGTTTGGATCACTTGAGGTCAGGAGTTTGAGACCAGCCTGGCCAACATGGAGAAACCCCATGCTCTTTTTAGCAACCAGTCCTAGGGACCTCATGGAGAACTTGCCAACCACGTCTCATGGGGACAGCATTAATGTATTCATGATGGATCCACCCCCATAACTGGAACGTCTCTCAATAGGCCCAGCCTCCCACACTGCGAGATAAGTGTCAACGTGAGGTTTGGCGGGGTCAAACATTCAAACTATAGCAGTGGTATCCCCAGCATGTTCTCTGATTATTTTGAGAACTATAACTGAGAAAGCAGGAGAAAGCTGGGTATCCTGCCATCGGGGAACTTGTCCTAAACAGATGTTGTATGTGCTTAGCTGGCAACCAAGAAATGAGAGACAATCCATAAAGAGGAACTGCTATAATTAGCTTCTTATTGGATTCCCACCTTCCCCCAGGTATCCGCAGACACCTGCACATTCTGATTGGGACCTCAGTGGCTATCATCCTCTTCATCATCCTCTTCTTCTTTCTCCTTCATTGCTGCTGCTCCAACAAAAAGAGTAAGTCTCACGAAGCAGAGGTCAGAGAGCTCAGGACCATGTGGGGAAGCAGGATGGGAGCACACTGGTGTGTGTTCCTGACTGGCAGGATGGTCCCTGGACCAAGGCAGGAGCCACAGAGGCAGGGCTTTCTAGAGAGAGCACCAGACACCCTGCCCCTGCCTTCAGCTCACAGACCATTGCCTGATTCTGAACTGTATCCTCACGTCCCCTGCAGCCACTGACATCCAGGAGAAGGTTCCATGACAGGCAGAAAGGGGAGACAGAATCACTGGGATGGGAACTCAGAGCTATTCATGGGATGGGTCCTTGAGCTCAGAGAGATAGAATGTCTGGGTCTGGCTGATGACAGCTGAGGGACCTCAGGCACCTACGGCCTCCCGCTGTGTGTTGGTGTCTGCTCATGAAATGAGGACCCAAAAGTGCCCTTCCAGCTGTTTTGATGACTTCTATCTCCTACAGATGCTGCTGTAATGGACCAAGAGCCTGCCGGGGACAGAACAGTGAACAGGGAGGTAGGTTCTCCTCAGCCCAGCCTCATGGATTGAGTCTCATTCCCTAATAGTCTTGAAGAATGTGAGCACCCTCCCTCACTCAGCATTTCCCTCTCTCCAGGACTCTGATGATCAAGACCCTCAGGAGGTGACATATGCACAGTTGGATCACTGCGTTTTCACACAGACAAAAATCACTTCCCCTTCTCAGAGGCCCAAGACACCTCCAACAGATACCACCATGTACATGGAACTTCCAAATGCTAAGCCAAGATCATTGTCTCCTGCCCATAAGCACCACAGTCAGGCCTTGAGGGGATCTTCTAGGGAGACAACAGCCCTGTCTCAAAACCGGGTTGCTAGCTCCCATGTACCAGCAGCTGGAATCTGAAGGCATCAGTCTTCATCTTAGGGGATCGCTCTTCCTCACACCACAAATCTGAACATGCCTCTCTCTTGCTTACAAATGTCTAAGGTCCCCACTGCCTGCTGGAGAGAAGACACACACCTTTGCTTAGCCCACAATTCTCTATTTCACTTGACCCCTGCCCACCTCTCCAACTGAACTGGCTTACTTCCTAGTCTACTTGAGGCTGCAATCACACTGAGGAACTCACAATTCCAGACATACAAGAGGCTCCCTCTTAACATGGCACTGAGACACGTGCTGTTCCACCTTCCCTCATGCTGTTTCACCTTTCCTCAGACTATTTTCCAGCCTTCTGTCAGTCAGCAGTGAAACTTATAAAATTTTTTGTGATTTCAATGTAGCTGTCTCCTTTTCAAATAAACATGTCTGCCCTCATTGCTTTAGGTAATGTGACACTATTCGCTGAAAGAAACCGCTGTTATCATTACCATGTCCACATAACCCCATCTGTTATCCACTGGGTTCTCTCCCCTGGACTCTGAGCTTCTGGAAGCAGGGTGGAGCCTCATTTGTCTCTGGGACTCCAATTTCCATCCAAAGATGCAGCACATAGGAGGTTCCAAGGATCATGAATCACATGAACAAGTGATATTCTTACTCTCTGCAGACCTGGAAAGCTGGCAGAGTCATTCCACGATGAAACATTTGTAGAGTCATAGGCCTTGTTAGTCTCATCTCCATGGGGACACATATCAACACATCATCTTTCATGCTATATATATATATACAGTCGCTCCTCCGTATCTGTGGGGTTTACAGGTGTTTATTGAACCAACTATAAATAAAAAATATTCAGAGAAGAAAATCCACAAACTTTCAAAAAGCAAAACTATGTTGAAGGGACACAAATGAAGCAGTGTGTAGGCCATATCAGGAATTATAAGTAATCTAGAGATGATTTCATGTACACAGGAGGATGTGCATGGGTTATATGCAAATGCTGTGCCATTTCATGTAAGAGGCTTGAGCATCTGCAGATTTTGGTATCTGAGTGGAGATCCTGAAACCAATCACCCAGGAATAGTGAAGGATGACCGTATAAAACTGTTATTTCTCAATTTTAAATATAAATCATAAAAAAATTATAAACTAGATAAAAACAAGAAGTGTTTTTATAGTGTGAGAATAAGTTTAGATTTATTTTTTCCTACGTGTAACCCTTTGGTTTAATATTATTTATTGAGAAGACATTCTATGCCACCTTAAACCACAGGGCAGCCTTTGTCAACTCTAAAGGGACTGTGTGTACACGGATGTATTTTAGACACTGTTTCTGCTAAGGGGCTCTCTGTGTCCACACTCTTGAGGATGCTGCACTTCATGTAGCCTTATAGAACCCTTTAAATTTAGTAGCCAGAGCCCTCTAATTTGTTATTATAGGCTACTTGCTATTTTTTTTTTCTTAAGGCGGAATCTTGCTCTGTCACCCAGGCTGGACTGTAGTAGTGCAATCTCAGCTCACTGCAAACTCCGCCTCCCAGGTTCAAGCGATTCTCGTGCCTCAGCCTCTTGAGTAGCTGGCATTACAGGTGTCTGCCACCAGGCACGGCTAATTTTTGAATGTTTAGCAGAGACACGGTTTCACTATGTTGGCCAGGCTGCTCTCAAACTCCTCATCTCAGTTGATTCGCCCACCGCGGCTTCCCAACATGCTGGGGGAAACTTGATTTTCTATAGCATTATGTTACTGGATATTTCTGTAAAATTTAAAATGAGGGAGGGACAGAGACAGAGAGAGAGCAAACTCCAGAGTTGGGACTCTGGAATCTTGGGTCATGAGACAAATTATAGATAAAACTATAAAAATCCAGAATTTACATGTGTGGTTTTTGCTGATAAAGTACAATTCGAAGATTGTAAATAATTGCATAATCCTTCCCTGGGAATTTAAATCATTTTAACTGGTTCTGCTGTAATACTAGAAATACAAGCATGAAAAATTCTAATGGTTTATTAGTCACAATGACTCTGAAAACATTAATAATACCTATTAGATATTTTGCATATTACACATGAAGAAGAGTTTGAATCTCAGATAAAAACAATAAAAATACATGAAAAGTTTTTCACGTTAGCACAGATTTTAGGCATCCTGTGTTCAGGAGGTTGGATCTGAGACGTGTTTTGAGTTGGTCATAGTGAAGGACACGAGGTGTAAATTCTAGTGAGAACAATTTCCAGGAAGCCGTGTTCTGCTCTTGAGCGAGCACCCACTGGGCCTCATGAAAGGTAGAAAGAGCCTGCGTACGTCACCCTCCCATGATGTGGTCAACATGTAAACTGCATGGGCAGGGAGCCAAATAACATCCTGTGCGCTGCTGAGCTGAGCTAGGGGTGCGGCCGCCTGTCTGCTCCGGCACCACCATGTCGCTCATGGTCATCAGCATGGCATGTGTTGGTGAGTCCTGGAAGGGAATAGAGGGAGGGAGCGCGGGGATGGAGATCTGGGCCCAGAGGTGGAGATATAGGCCTGGAGGTGGAGTTATGGGCCTGGAGTGGAGATATGGGCCTGGAGGTGGAGATATGGACCTGGAGTGGAGATATGAGCCTGGAGTGGAGATATGGGCCTAGAGTGGAGATATGGGCCTGGAGGTGGAGATCTGGGCCTGGAGTGGAGATCTGGGCCTGGATTGGAGATATGGGCCTGGAGTGGAGATATGAGCCTGGAGTGGAGATATGGCCCTGGAGTGGAGATAGGGGCCTGGAGTGCAGATATGGGCCTGGAGTGGAGATGTGGGTCTGGAGTGCAGATATGGGCCTGGAGGTGGACATAAGGGCCTGGAGTGGAGATATGGGCCTAGAGTGGAGATATGAGCCTGGAGATGGAGATATGGGCCTGGAGTGGAGATATGGGCCTGGAGGTTGGAGATATGGGCCTGGAGTGGAGATATGGGCCTGGAGCGGAGATATGGGCGTGGGGTGGAGATATGGGCCTTGAGTGGAGATATGGGACTGAAGTGGAGATATGGGTGTGGGGTGGAGATATGGGACTGGAGTGCAGATATGGGCATGGGGTGGAGATATGGGACTGGAGTGGAGATATGGGCGTGGAGTGGAGATATGGGACTGGAGTGGAGATATGGGCGTGGGGTGGAGATATGGGCCTGGAGTGGAGATATGGGCGTGTGGTGAAGATATGGGCCTGGAGTGGAGATATGGGCCTGGAATGGAGATATGGGCGTGGGGTGGAGATATGGGACTGGAGTGGAGATATGGGCCTGTTGTGGAGATATGGGCTTGGAGTGGAGATATGATCCTGGAATGTAGTTATGGGCCTGGAGGTGGAGATCTGGGCCCGGGGTGGAGATATGGGCCTGGAGTGGAGATATGGGCCTGGAGAGGAGATATGGGCCTGGAGTGGAGATATGGGCCTGGACTGGAGTTATGGGCCTGGGGTGGAGATCTGAGCCTGGATTGCAGATGTGGGCCCAGATTGGCTATATGGGCCTAGGGTGGGAATATCAGCCTGGAGTGGAGATATGTGCCTGGAGTGGAGATATGGGCTTGGGGTGGGGATATGGGCCTGGAGGCTGGGTCTCTGCACAGCCGAGAGCCCTGTTCTTGGGTGCAGGTAGGCACTGAGGGTGAGTTTCCCTTCGGCCCAGGAAGGGCCTGGCTACCAAGACTCACAGCCTAGTGGGGATAGCAAGGGAGGCCTGGTTTGCCTGCAGATGGATGGTCCATCATGGTCTTTCTTTCCAGGGTTCTTCTGGCTGCAGGGGGCCTGGCCACATGAGGGTAAGTCCTTCTCCAAACCTTAAGGTGTCATCTCCCCACATAAGAGGATTTTCCTGAAACGGGAGGGAAGTCCTGTCGGGGAGTCTCTCTTAAACTAGAAAGAGGGGACCCTGGGGTGCTTGGCCCACAGTTCCGACCTCGCCTCCCCAGCCTTTCATTTCCTTGGCAGAGTCAAGTTCTGTGGGGACCAGGGTTACACTAGGGTGCTCAAAGCTGGGTTGTGTGGTGGGGAAGTGGTAGGAACAGCAGATCCTCTGAGGACAAAGGTGTTACTCACACACTTCAGCGTTTCCATGATGGTAGGGGCTGCAGTGTGGCTGCTCTCATTCTACCAGAAGAGGTGGGAAACCACAGCCATGGCCCTGACATTCCAAATCCTCTGATGGGGGCTCAGTTGTTTATTTTCATTCAGGCATCTGCTGATATTCCATTCTCAAAGGACATGCCCTCCACCCCATGTCTACCCTGTGTTGTTTTATGTGAGTAATCTTACAGTATTAAAATCTAGTAGGAGTCTCTTACTCAGCACTTGCTCAAAGTTCTCAGCTGACATTTTTGTTGTAGGGAGACACCTTGTCTTTGTGGGATGAGTCCTTCCTTTAGCCCTAGGCACCAAGGTGTGATAGCAGCCATAGAAATGTGGAAAGTGGGGAGAATCTTCTGAGCACAGGGAGGGAGGGGCGGCTGCACATCCTCCTCTCTAAGGTGGCGCCTCCTTCTCCCCAAGGTGGTCAGGACAAGCCCTTGCTTTCTACCTGGCCCAGCCTTGTGGTGCCTCCAGAACATGTGACTCTTCGGTGTCACTCTAATCTTGGGTTTAACAACTTCAGTCTGTACAAGGATGATGGGGTGCCTGTCCCTGAACACTACAACAGAATATTCTGGAAAAGCCTTTTCATGGGCCCTGTGACCCCGTCACACACAGGGACCTATAGATGCCGGGGTTCACACCCACACTCCCCCAGTGGGTGGTCGGCACCCAGCAACCCCCTGCTGATCATGGTCACAGGTCAGAGGGCTCCTGTCTGGGATTCTCCTTGTCCCACCTCCTGAATCCCAGAGCTTCCGGTAGGCATGTCCTTGAGGGTCCCTTCACGCAGGCCCTGACTGTATTTGGGGTAAAGGGGGATTGAATACAGGGAAATGGGTACTGTGGTGAGAAGAATAATTGTCCCCAGTGATGACTACATTCTAATCCCTGGAGTCTGTGACTATTTATGTTATAGGGGAAGGGACTGAAGGGGAAGATGGAGCTCAGGTTGTTGATGAGTTGACCTTGAGATGGGAGAAGGCCTGGACTGTCCCCCTGGGCTCAGTGTAGTCACAAGGGTCCACATGAAAGGAGGAGGAAGAGGAGAGTGGGGATTAGAGCAGCATAATGGGAGTCTCCATCAGCTTTGAAGGTGGAGGAAGGCCAGGAGCCATGAATGCAGGTGGCCTATAGAGGCTGGAAAAGTCAAGGAACTGATTCTCCTGAGTCTCCAGAGGGAACGAAGCCCTGCAGGTGCCTTGATTTTAGCCCAGGAAAAACAGGGCCCGACTTCTGCCTCCAAAAATGGAAGGGGTCAGTGTGCTCTCTCCTGCTGCCATGCTGCTGATAATTTTCTACAGCAGCAACAGGAAACCAACACCGGAACCCAGCTCGAGGAAAAGTTAAGAAAGGACACAAGGATAGCCGGGCGTGGTGGCAGGTGCATGTAATCCTAGCGACTTGGGAGGCTGAGGGCAGGAGAATCACTTGAACCCAGGAGACAGAGGTTGCAGTGAGCCTAGACCACACCACTTCACTCCAGCCTGGGCAAAGGAGTGAGACTCTGTCTCCAAAATTAATTAATTAAAGAAACCAAACAAGGAGAAGGTTGGCTACACCAAGATCAGCAAGTGTGGGATTATGATGCCACCACCAGGCTCCATCCACATAGGGAGCGGTTGATACTCCTCCAACCAGCACCAGGAGCCAGGCTATGGAAGCTGGTACAGGCATGGCAAGAGTGGCTCCCAGTCCCCACCAGGAAAAGGGTGTGTGGACACTGGTGCCTGCCTTACTGTTCAGTTCATACCTCCTGCCAAGGATTCCAATTCGTCCAAAAGAGATTGAACCAGGCTGCTAAGAGCCTGGATGTGCAGCCTATCCTGGTTCCTCTTCCACCCCCACATAGACAGCAGGAAAGACATTAGTTCAAAATAGATACAACAGCCGAAGAGATGAGGCTGAGCCCAGCGGCAAGGCAATCAGAGGTTACTAGAGACAGAGGGACAGAGAAGAGGGAGGGAGACAGATGGAAGGACCTGCACCAGGAGTTATGGGCACAGAAAAGAACATGAAGACACAGAGAGGAAGGAGAGAGACAGACACCAGGGAGGGGAAGCCTCACTCAATCCAGGTGCCATGGATGGGATGATAAAGAGAGACACCTTCTAAATTCACAAACTCTCTTCCTAGGATTCCGCAGAAAACCTTCCCTCCTGGCCCACCCAGGTCGCCTGGTGAAATCAGAAGAGACAGTCATCCTGCAATGTTGGTCAGATGTCATGTTTGAGCACTTCCTTCTGCACAGAGAGGGGACGTTTAACGACACTTTGCGCCTCATTGGAGAGCACATTGATGGGGTCTCCAAGGCCAACTTCTCCATCGGTCGCATGAGGCAAGACCTGGCAGGGACCTACAGATGCTACGGTTCTGTTCCTCACTCCCCCTATCAGTTTTCAGCTCCCAGTGACCCTCTGGACATCGTGATCACAGGTGAGAGTGTCCAGACATTCTTCTCATTGTCATTCGGACACAGAGTGAATGATCCAGGACTTGGAGGCCCAGGTGGTTGTAAGGAAGATGAGCTTGGTATTCTTATGGAGAGAGACTGACTTGGTGAGGTCTGTACCAACAGAGACAGAGAAACAGGAGACACAAGTACAGACCAGGTGTCATAACAGAGGACAGACACAGGGGCCATTCCGAGAGTTAGAAAAGACAGAAGGAGTTAAAGGAGACAGACAGACAGACATGTCCCAGAGAGAGGTGTCCCTCCATGCTGACTTTGCTCAGAGACCTGGCACAGATTACAAGTTTCATTTCTGTTTTACCTCCACAAAGTGTTCTCTACCAGGAGAACCCAAGGACACCCATATTTCTGACCTGAGTTGGGCCCTGTGGCCTCAGGCCTTCTGGCACCTACAGATGCCGTGTTTATTCTGACACCTCTGCCTTCCAAGTAATGGAGAGTAATCGTCCCAGGATATCATGGCCCCAGAACACCAACCCCTGTATGCTGTGTGAACTTGTAGTCTCCAGACTGGATTCTGAGGCTCACATTCCAAATAACCCCACATATGAAAGGATCACTGAGAGGCACAGAGAAAAATCAGGAACACCAAAAAGCAAAGACATAAACACACAGAGAATGGGCCAGAGGAAGGAGATTGAGAGACTCACAGACACATAAAGAGAGAGAAAAGAGGGCAGAGGAGTGGTGAGAATGATGGAAGGGAGCAGAGAAAAGCACTAAAATTAGAGTCCTGAGGGAGAGGCACAAGGACATAGAAAGATGGAGATGTGGGGATGAATTGCAGAGATTCCAAAGAGAACTAGAGAGACCGAGAGGCAGAGCAAGACAGATGATAGATGGATAGATATAGATAGATGATAAATAGGTAGATGATAGATACTAGGTTATAGATACATAGATGATGATTGATTGATTCATTAATAGATGAGACGTAGAGATGATGATGAAGACAGATAGATAATACATAGAGATAGAGAGGCAGACAGAAGTCATAGAGAGAGAGATGATACATAGATATAGATAACAGATGATTGATGGATAGATAGACAAGTGATAGATACATAGATGATATATAGATATAGATGACAAGTAGAGAATTTGTAGATAGGCACCGAATAGATAAATAGATAGATCAACAGATAATAGATAGAAATATGCAGAAAGTTATGAACAGGACACAAAGTGAGAAACTTAGAATTTAAAAAAGTAACATCAAGTCAACCAATCCAAGGAGAGTCAGAGAGAATAAAACAATCCAAAAACGGAAAACATATCTAGAGGTGGGGAAGCGAGGTCAGAGACCTAGAGAGACAGAGAAGGTGGAAGGAGGAAATAGACATGAAGAGAGATGGGGTGGAGGGTGAGAGAGAGAGAGAGAGAGCATTAGGTCATAGAGCAGGGGAGTGAGTTCTCAGCTCAGGTGAAGGGAGCTGTGACAAGGAAGATCCTCCATAAGGAAAATGCCTCTTCTCCTTCCAGGTCTATATGAGAAACCTTCTCTCTCAGCCCAGCCGGGCCCCACGGTTCTGGCAGGAGAGAGCGTGACCTTGTCCTGCAGCTCCTGGAGCTCCTATGACATGTACCATCTATCCACGGAGGGGGAGGCCCATGAACGTAGGTTCTCTGCAGGGCCCAAGGTCAACGGAACATTCCAGGCCGACTTTCCTCTGGGCCCTGCCACCCAAGGAGGAACCTACAGATGCTTCGGCTCTTTCCATGACTCTCCCTACGAGTGGTCAAAGTCAAGTGACCCACTGCTTGTTTCTGTCACAGGTGAGGAAAGCCCATGGCTGTCCCATGTCCTATGATCCTAGAGCCTTAGCTGAGGAGCTTCCTGCTGAGGATGGAGAGAAGCATGGACAGATGCAGAGAGAAGATGCATCCTCGGTGTGAGGGAGGGATCAGGGCACAGGATGGCCGACAGGGCACCTCCAAACCCTCCTACATGGCCTGCATGGAGGCCCGCAGCCAGGGCTCCAGGCACCCAGGCAGATGGAGAAAGCGGTCAGGAGAGACCCAGAGGAGGGAGACTGGGCTCAGTTTGGGGAGATCAGAGGTTCCCTCAGCCCCTCAACCTTACCCATTTCCCAGAAGCCCATCCTGGCCTCTCACCCACACAGAGATGTCATCACCAGCAACCCCTACACCCTTTACTTTTGTTTGAAGAAATATTTATTGAGGATAAATATACCTATATAGCTTACCACCTTTAACATTTTTTTTTTTTTGAGGCAGAGTCTAGCTCTGTCCCCTATGCTGGAGTGCAGTGGCACAATCTCAGCTCACTGCAACTTCCGCCTCCTGGGTTCAAGCGATTCTCCTGCCTCAGCCACCTGAGTAGCTGGTGCTACAGGTGCGCACCACCACGCCAGGCTACTTTTTGTATTTTTAGTAGAGAGGTGGTTTCACCATGTTGGTCGAGCTGGTCTGCAACTCCTGACCACGTGATCCACCCGCATCTGCCTCCCAAAGTGCTGGGATTACAGGCATGAGCCACCACGCCCAGCCACATTTACCATTTTTAAGTGTAAAGTCTAGTGGTCATAAATACATTTATATATATATATATATATACATTTTTTTTACCCTCCACCCTTTTCTTCCTGCCCTCCAGTAGCCACCATTCTACTCTCTACCTTCATGAGATCCACCTTTTAGCTCCTGTATATGGGTGAGAAATGGGAATCTTTGTAATGACCTCCAGTTCCATCCATGTGGCTGCAAATGACAGGATGTTATTCTTTCTATGGATGAGTAGTCTCCACTGTGCGTATGTACTACATTCTCTCTATCCATTCACCCACTGATGGGCAGGTAGGTTGACTCCTCATCTTGGCTACTGTGAACAGTGCTGCACCAATCATACGAGTGCAGATATCACTTCGATATATTGATTTACTTTCCTTTGGATATAAACCCAGTAGTGAAATTGCTGGATACTATGAAAGTTCTCTTTTTTTTTTTTTTCTTTTTTGAGAAAGAGTTTCCCTCCTTAGCCCAAGCTGGAGTCAAAGTGGTGCGACCTTGGCTCATTGCAACCTCCGCCTCCTGGGTTCCAATGATTTTCCTGCCTCAGCCTCCCTAGTAGCTGGGATTACAGGTGCACGCCACCATGCCTGGCTACTTTTTGGTTTTTTTAGTATAGATGCGGTTTCCCCATGTTGGCTGGGCTGCTCTCAAACTCATGACCTCAACTGAGGTGCCCGCCTCAGTCTCCCAAAGTGCCGGGATTACAGGCCTGATCCACCACACCCAACCTCTTTTTAGTTCTTTAAAGGACTTCCATACTTTTCTCCGTAATCGCTGTACTAATTTACACTCCTCCCAACAGGGTACCAGGGTTCTCCTTTCTCTAGCACTTTGCCAGCATTTCTTTTGCCTGTCTTGCAGCTAAAAGCCATTTTATTTATTTCATTTTATTTTGAGATGGAGTTTTGCTCTTCTCACCCAGGCTGGAGTGCAGTGGCGCTATCTCGGCTCACCACAACCTCCACCTCCCAGGTTCAAGCGATTCTCCTGCCTCAGCCTCCCGAGTAGCTGGAATTACAGGCACACGCCACCACGCCCGACTAATTTTTGTATTTTTAGTAGAGACAGCGTTTCTCTATGTGGGTCATACTGGTCTCAAACTCCCGACCTTATGAGATTCACCCACCTCAGGCTCTCAAAGTTCTAGGATGACAGACGTGAGCCACCTCACCCGGCCTAAAAGCCATTTTAATGGGGTGAGATGAAAACTCACTTTGATTTTAATTTGCATTTCTCTGATGATGAGTGATACTGAGCACTTTTTCATATGTGGGGAAATTTCATGTCTTTTGCTCCTTTTTCAATTAAATCATTTGTTTTATTGAGTTGTTTGAGCTTCTTATATTTCTAGTTATTAATCCCATCTCAGATGCATAGTTTGCACATATTTGCTCCCAATCTGTGGGTTGTCTCTTCACTTTGTTGGTTTATTTTTAGCAGTGCAGAAGTTGCTTAGTTTGAGGTAATCCCAATGGTCTATTTTTGCTTCGATTACTTGTGTTTTCAAGGTTTAAAACAAAATGTCTTCCTTCAGACAAACGTCCTGGAGCATTTCCCCAATATTTCTTCTACGTGTTTCATAGGTTCAGGCCTTAGACTCACATCTTTAATCCATTTTCATTTGATTTTTGTGTATGGTGACAGGTAGAGGTGCAGTTTCATTCCTCTGCATGTAGATGTCCAGGTTTCCCTGCACTGTTTATTGAAAAGACTGTCCTTT
The DNA here is from genome assembly GCF_000001405.40 of Homo sapiens. Classification (NCBI taxonomy): domain Eukaryota; kingdom Metazoa; phylum Chordata; class Mammalia; order Primates; family Hominidae; genus Homo; species Homo sapiens. The sequence continues at coordinate 78,618 of NW_016107310.1, forward strand.
CCTGATTGTGAGTTCTTGGCACCTTTGTCAAAGTCCATTGGATGGGCTGGGCTTGGTGGCTCACACCTGCAATTCCAGCACTTTGGGAGGCCGAGGCGGGTGGATTACCTGAGGCCAGGAGTTCAAGATCAGTCTGGCCGACGTGATGAAACATCGTCTCCACTAAAAATATAAAAATTAGCTGAGCATGGTGGTCAGCACCTGTAATACCACTACTCAGGAGTTTGAGGCAAGAGAATGATTGAACCCAGGAGGCTGAGGTTGCAGTGAACTGAGATTGCACCTCTGCACTCCAGCCTGAGTGACAGAGCAAGACTCCATCTCAAAAGAAAAAATAAAAAACCATTGGATGTAAATGCATGGAATATATCTGTGTTATTCATTCTGCTCCATTGTTCTATGTGCCTTTCTTTATGCCAATGTCATGCTGTTTTGCTTACTACAGCTCTGTAACATATTTTGAGATCAGGTAGTGTGATGCTCCTGTTTTCTCTTTATACCTTGAAGTCTCAAGACAGTGGGCGTCACATACAAAAATTATGGAAAAAAGGATCCCAGGACTCCCAGGGCCCAATATTAGATAACAGAGTGTTGGCCATGAACCATCCTCAAAGATTTCCACTGAGTAGAGGACAGACACCCTCATTTCCTCACCTCTCTCCTGTCTCATATTCTAGGAAACCCTTCAAATAGTTGGCCTTCACCCACTGAACCAAGCTCCAAAACCGGTGAGTACAGAACCCTCTTATATCCGCTTTTGGAAACCTGGGGAGGTGGAAACCTTGGATTCAGGCGTTGACTCAGCATCTCACAGCTCTGACATTGTACCCCTGTCTTCCACCATCTCCGAACTCCAGATACTCCTACAGCGAAAGGGATCTGGGCCCAACACAGGGCTCAGTGAAATCTCTTCATCTCTCATTTTATGGAGCTGAGACCTCCTACAAGCTAGAAGAATGATTGCCAATCTGACATCCTTCTCAGGAAAAATGCAATGTTTGTTCTGCCTGCATTCCTAACTGGAGGATAAATTCCTGGAGACTTGAGAGAGGGAAGGGAAGGGAACATCTGATGAGGGCGAGGTGTTTTAGAGAAGTTCCACTTGCCAAGGAATGAGCTCCTATAGGTCATGAAGCAACCCTGGCTGACTCAGCAGAGAAAGAGCCTTGCTGTAACAGAGAACAGAGCTCATGCACGCACACTTCGACTCACTGACTCATTCAGCCACGGCCCCATGCTCAGGCTGTGCAGTGTGGAAGCTTTTCCTATTGTTGCCATAACAAATTTCCACAAGATTCGTGGGTGAAAACAAAACGGTTTTTTAATTATCTTGCAGTGCTGTAGCTCAAAGTATGAAGTGCATCTCACTGGGCTAAAATCAAGGTGACAGCAAGGCTGCCTTCCCTCTGAGGATTCCAGGCAAGAATCTGCTTCTCACTTTTCTCAGCTTCTAGAGGCTCCCACATTCCTTCGCTCCTGGTCCCCTTCCTCCTTCCTCAAAGCCCACAAAGGCTGGTCACATCTCACATGGCATCACTCAGACCCTTCTTCCTTACCACACCTCTTTCTCTGAATGCTGCTCTCCCTTCTTCCTCATCTTTTGAAAACTTGGGGATTCTATTGGGTTCACCAAGATGAAAATCCATCATAATCTCCCGGAAATCATTCAGGATACCCTTGTTTTAAGTTCAGCTGATTAGCAACCATAATTCCATCTGCAATCTTCATTCCTCCTTTCCATGTAAAATAAGATATTCACAAGCTATGGAGGCTAGGACAGGGACATTTTGGGGTGGGACAGCATTCTCCTACCTTCCACAAACAGTGAACAAGATGCATTTGGCCTCTGCTCTTGGGACACTGATATTGCAGATGGTTAAATGGGAGGGCAGAAAATGAATGCACAAGTGGACCAATAAATGAATGATCCATTGGGAAGCATCTGTGTATGAAATCTATTTGTTTGTTTCTTCATTTGTTTATTGAGACAGAGTCGCCCTCTGTCTTCCAGGCTACAGTGCAGTGTCACCATCTTGGCTCACTGCAACCTGCACCTTCTGGATCCAAGTGATTCTCCTGCGTCAGCCTCTCAAGTAGCTGGGATTACAGGCAACTGCCACCATGCCCGGCTAATTCTTTTTGTATATTTTTTGTAGAGGATGTTTCACCATCTTCGCCAAGCTTCTCTGAAACTCCCAACCTCAAGTGATCCGACCGTCTCAGCATCCTAAAGTACTGGGATAACTGGCGTGAGCCACTGTGCCCAGCCAGAATTTAAAATAAATAATACATAATGCTGAGTGTATGATTTTGGGTGACAGAGAAGATCTCACTAATCAGATATTTGTGACATTAATGAAAAACACGGATTGAACCCCTGAAAGATTGGTGGAAGGATTTTCCACACACAGCTGTCAGCCGTGAACGCACAAAGGTGAAAATAATCTGATGTTGAAGGAAGAGGCTCTTCCTCAAATGCTGGGAATGACGTGGGGAGAATGACAAGACGACTGTGGAGAGACGGAGAGCACACTGGGTACACAGGAAACTAAGGAGCAACAAGGAGTGTGTGTTTGACACTCACAGCCATTGGATTCACCTCGGGGTAACCAGGAATCCCTACATGATTAATATGACTGACATGAAAATAAGGGAGGCCCAGGTGCGTAACTAGAATCTAGGAGACTGTGGAAAAGGCAATTCCCGCCTCACTGGTGAAATGTGGTGCTGATTTAGACCCTAACTGGGTGAAGCAGATGGATATAAGCTATGCTTGTGAGGTGGAATCATTGGCTGGAAAGGCTTGCTGGGTATGATTTTCCTAGTTGTCTAATCCTCGCTTAATTTCTTTCTGAGCTTTATTCCTACTACACATAAATCAATACCTGGCAAAGGAGTGACAGATATATGAGTGGTGGTGGAAATGAAGGGACCTATTATAGCATAATATACAAGTCTGTGAACGGTGGCTCACGCCTGTAACCCAGCACTGCAGGAGGCCAAGGAGGGTGGATCACATGAAGTCAGCAGTTCGAGACCAGCCTGGCCAACCTGGTGAAACCCTGTCTCTAGGAAAAACACAAAAATTAGCCGAGCATGGTGGTGCATCCCTGTAATCCCAGCTCCTACTCTGGAGGATGAAGCAGGAGAATGACTTCAACCCAGGAGGTGGAGGTTGCAGTGAGTGGAGATTGCATCACTGCACTCCAGCCTGGGTGACACAAGGAGACTCCGTCTCAAAAAATAAAAATAAGAAATGCATAAATATAAATATAATATAACACACGCAAATGACAAAGGGACCTGAATTCCAATCATGATTTTTCTATTTCTCTATAATTACTTCTTTGATCTTTTATCTTATCCATTAGGCAATGAGCCTAAAACCTCTTCCCTATTTGGCTTTCTGTGAGCATGAGATCATATAGAAAATGTGAAAGCCCGCTGAATCCTCCAGCACAGATCCTGGAATACACAAAGTGCTCTGTTCATCACAAAAAAAACATGCCCTCTCACCCAAATCCCCCACCTCACCCCTACTTCCAATCATCTGTGGAGATTCAGATAGACCATGGGGAGGTAAATTCTAATACTCCTTGGAGTGAGTCCAGATCTTGGAATCAGAGATCAGCGTCAGCACTAGCTCCTGCTCCCCTTTCCTACTAATTCACAGGAGGACAGGTGGTATTGAAGCAATAGATGGCCGAGGGGGTGGTCCTTCCCCCAGCCTCTGGGGTAGAACAGCAGCCTAACATGTGTCTCCGGAGATCACAAAGAGTAGCACGTTTCACATGGGCTTCAACACTGTTTCCTGGCCATTTGACATAAGAGAATTCTACTTCGCTTTTTTTATCTTGATTTCACTTTTGTTTCCTTTTCTTGGAGAATGCAAGTTGTTTGACTCAAGAATGCCCTGGATGTAGAAATCCTAAAGCACATTCGCTGTGTATCAATCCCAGTGCAGTCTTCCCAGAGAAGACTCTAAACACCTCCTGGACTGCACCTGGGCCTATGCCAATTCCTATCACTCACCGTCACTCCAGGGAGACAGAACACACAGAGAATACATTACACAGGCAGGTTCATTACTAACAGATAAGCAGCGAGTGACAACAGAAGCCTACATTTCAATGTGAGCCAGTCCCTCAAGGCTCAGAAAAGCTGCTCGGGACATATGGAGTCACCCCATTTGCAGTGTAGCTGGGGGAAGCCAGAAAGCAGCCCAGCCTGGGTTTTGTACCCTGGAGCCACAGGAAGCACTCAGCTAAAGCACTGCATGACGCCTTCCTCCAGGAAGAACAGGAAGACAGCCCAGGCTGTTCTGAGACATTCCTCCTGATCTCAGTACGTTGCTGTCGTAGTTTTTTTTTGTTGCTCTAAAGGAAAACTTGAGCCTCGGTAACTTCTAAAGAAAAGAGATCGGTTTGCCTCACCGTTCTGCAGGCTGTACTGGAAGCATGGTACCAGAATCTATTTCTTGTGACGGCCTCAGGCTGCTCCCACTCTGGCAGAAGGGAAGGAGGGTCTGTCTGTGCAGAGACCGCAGAGATCACACGGCAAGAGAGAGAGTAAGGGGGAGGGGGAGCGATGGAGCTTCCAAGCTCTTTTGAACAACCAGCTCTCCAGGAACTAATAGAGGGGGAACTTGCTAACCCCGTCTCCTTGGGACAGCATTGTTCTGTTCATGATGGATCCACCTCCATGACCCAAACACCTCCCAAGAGGCCCAACCTCCCACACTGGGGGTGAAATTTCCATGTGAGGTTTGAAGGGGTCAGACATCTCAACTAAAGTAGTTGTATCCTCAGCACGTTCTATGGTTACTATGAGAGCTATAACTGAGAAAGCAGGGGAAAGCTAGGTCTCCCACCATTTGGGTGCTTGTCCTAAAGAGACGTTGTATGTGGTTACCTGTCAATCAAGAAATGCGAGACAATTCATAAAGAGGAACTGCTATGATTAGCTTCTTATTGGTGTCTCCTCTTCTTCCAGGTAACCCCAGACACCTACACGTTCTGATTGGGACCTCAGTGGTCAAACTCCCTTTCACCATCCTCCTCTTCTTTCTCCTTCATCGCTGGTGCTCCGACAAAAAAAGTAAGTCTCACGAAGCAGAGGCCAGAGAGCTCAGGGCCATGTGGGGAAGCAGGATGTTAGCACGTGGGTGTGTGTTCCTCACAGGCAGGATGGTCCCTGGCCCAAGACAGGAGCCACAGAGGCAGGACTTTCTAGAGAGAGCACCAGACTCCCTGCCCCTGCCTTCAGCTCACAGACCATTGCCTGATTCTGAACTGTACCCTCACGTCCCCTGCAGCCACTCACATCCAGGAGAAGGTTCCATGACAGGCAGAAAGTGGGAGATAGAATCAATGGGATGGGAACTCAGAGCTATTCATGGGATGGGTCCTTGAGCTCAGAGAGATAGAATGTCTGAGTCTGCTGTTGGCAACTGAGGGACCTCAGGCACCTATGGCCTCCCCCTGTTTGTTGGTATCTGCTTATGAAATGAGGACCCAGAAGTGCCCTCCGAGCTGTTTTGTTGACTTCCATCTTCTACAGATGCATCTGTAATGGACCAAGGGCCTGCGGGGAACAGAACAGTGAACAGGGAGGTAGGTGCTCCTCGGCCCAGCCTCGTGGCTAGTCTTATTCCCAAAGAGTCCTGAAAAATGTGAGCACCCTCCCTCACTCAGCATTTCCCTCTCTCCAGGATTCTGATGAACAGGACCATCAGGAGGTGTCATACGCATAATTGGATCACTGTGTTTTCACACAGAGAAAAATCACTCCCCCTTCTCAGAGGCCCAAGACACCCCCAACAGATAGCAGCATGTACATAGAACTTCCAAATGCTGAGTCCAGATCCAAAGCTGTCTTCTGTCCACGAGCACCACAGTCAGGCCTTGAGGGGATCTTCTAGGGAGACAACAGCCCTGTCTCAAAACCGGGTTGCCAGCTCCCATGTACCAGCAGCTGGAATCTGAAGGCATCAGTCTTCATCTTAGGGCATCGCTCTTCCTCACACCACGAATCTGAACATGCCTCTCTCTTGCTTACAAATGTCTAAGGTCCCCACTGCCTGCTGCAGAGAAAACACACTCCTTTGCTTAGCCCACAATTCTCCATTTCACTTGACCCCTGCCCACCTCTCCAACCTAACTGGCTTACTTCCTAGTCTACTTGAGGCTGCAATCACACTGAGGAACTCACAATTCCAAACATACAAGAGGCTCCCTCTTAACACGGCACTTAGACACGTGCTGTTCCACCTTCCCTCATGCAGTTCCACCTCCCCTCAGACTATCTTTCAGCCTTCTGTCAGCAGTAAAACTTATAAATTGTTTTTAGTAATTTCAATGTAGTTTTCCCTCCTTCAAATAAACATGTCTGCCCTCATCGTTTCGGTAATGGGACTCTTTTCTTTCCTAAGGCTTCCGGTGTTATCATTACCATGTCCACATAACCCCATCTGTTCTCCACTGGGTTCTCACCCCTGGACTCTGAGCTTCTGGAACAGGGTGGACCCTGACTTGTCTCTGAGACTCCAATTTCCATCCAAAGATGCAGCACATAGGAAGTTCCAAGGATCGTGAATCACATGAACAAGTGATATTCTTACTCTCTGCAGACCTGGAAAGCTGGCAGAGTCATTCCATGATGAAACATTTGTAGAGTCATAGGCCTTGTTAGTCTCATCTCCACGGGGACACATGTCAACGCATCATCTTTCATACTATAAATATACAGTCGCTCCTCCGTATCTGTGGGGTTTACAGGTGTTTATTGAACCAAGTATAAATCAAAAATATTCAGAGAAAAAGCCCACAAAGTTCCAAAAAGCAAAACTGTGTTGAATGCACACAAATGAGGTGGTGTATAGGCTGTATCAGGAATTATAAGTAATCAAGAGATGATTTCATGTATACAGGAGGATGTGCATGGGTTATATCCAAATGCTGTGTCATTTTACGTAAGAGGCTTGAGCATCTGCAGATTTTAGTATCTGAGTGGAGATCTCGAAACCAATCACCCATGAATAGTGAAGGATGACGGTATAGGACTTTTATTTCTCAAATTTAAATATAAATCATAAAAAATGTACAATAACTAGATAAAAACTAAGAAGTGTTTTTATAGTGTGAGAATAAGTTTAGATTTATTATTTCCTATGTGTAACCCTTTGGTTTAATATTATTTATTGAGAAGACATTCTATGCCACCTTAAACCACACGGCAGCTTTGTCAACTAAAAAGGGACTGTGTGTACACGGATGTGTATTTTAGACACTGTCTCTGCTAAACGGCTCTCTGTGTCCACATTCTTGAGGATGCTCCACTTTATGTAGCCCCATAGAACCCTTTAAATTTAGTAGCCAGAGGCCTCTAATTTGTTATTATAGGCTATTTGCTATTTTTATTTTCTTGAGGCGGAGTCTTGCTCTGTCGCCCAGGCTGGACTGCAGTGGTGCAATCTCAGCTCACTGCAACCTCCGCCTCCCAGGTTCAAGCGATTCTCGTGCCTCAGCCTCTTGGGTAGCTGGCGTTACAAGTTCCTGCCACTGGGCACGGCTAATTTTTGGATTTTTAGCAGAGACACGGTTTCACTGTGTTGCCAGGCTGCTCTCAAACTCCTTATATCAGTTGATCCGCCCACCTCGGCTTCCCGACGTGCTGGGGGAAACTTGATTTTCTATAGCATTATGTTACTGGATATTTCTGTAAAATTTAAAATGAGGGAGGCAGAGAGACAGAGAGAGAACAAACTCCAGAGTTGGGACTCTGGAAACTTGGGTCATGAGACAAATTTTAGATAAATCTACAAAAATCCAGAGTTTAAATGTGTGGTTTTTGCTGATAACGTACAATTCAAAGATTGTAAATAATTGCATAATCCTTCCCTGGGAATTTAAATCATTTTAACTGGTTCTGCTGTAATACTAGAAATACAAGCATGAAAAATTCTAATGGTTTATTAGTCACAATGACTCTGAAAACCTTAATAATACCTATTAGATATTTTGCATATTACACATGAAGAAGAGTTTGAATCTCAGATAAAAACAATAAAAATACATGAAAAGTCTTTCACGTTAGCACAGATTTTAGGCATCTCGTGTTCAGGAGGTTGGATCTGAGACGTGTTTTGAGTTGGTCATAGTGAAGGACGCTAGGTGTAAATTCTAGTGAGAACAATTTCCAGGAAGCCGTGTTCCGCTCTTGAGCGAGCACCCACTGGGCCTCATGCAAGGTAGAATGAGCCTGCGTACGTCACCCTCCCATGATGTGGTCAACATGTAAACTGCATGGGCAGGGCGCCAAATAACATCCTGTGCGCTGCTGAGCTGAGCTGGGGCGCGGCCGCCTGTCTGCACCGGCAGCACCATGTCGCTCACGGTCGTCAGCATGGCGTGTGTTGGTGAGTCCTGGAAGGGAATAGAGGAAGGGAGTGTGGGGTTGGAGATCTGGGCCCAGAGGTGGAGATATAGGCCTGGAGGTGGAGTTGTGGGCCTGGAGTGGAGATCTGGGCCTGGAGTGGATATATGGGCCTAGAGATGGAGTGATGGGCCTAGAAGTGGAGATCTGGGCCTGGAGTGCCGATAGGAACCTGGAGGGGAGATAGGAGCCTGGAGTGGAGATATGGGCCTGGAGGTGGAGTTATAGGCCTATAGTAGAGATATGGGCCTGGAGTGGAGATTTGGGCCAGGAGTGGAGATATGGGCCTAGAGGTGGATATCTGGGCCTAGAGTGGAAATATGGGCCTAGGATGGAGATATGGGCCTGGTTGTGGAGATATGGGACTGGAGAGGAGATATGGGCCTAGAGTGGAGATATGGGCTTGGGGTGGAGATCTGGGCCTGGGGTGGAGATATGGGCCTGGAGGTGGAGTTACGGGCCTTCAGTAGAGATATGGGCCTGGGGTGGAGATATGGGCTTGGGGTGGAGATCTGGGCCTGGAGTGGAGATATGGGCCTGGAGGTGGAGTTACTGGCCTTCAGTAGAGATATGGGCCTGGTGTGGAGATATGGGCCTGGATTGGAGATATGGGCCTAGGGTGGAGATCTGAGCCTGGAGTGGAGATATGGGCCTGGATTGGAGATATGGGCTTACAGTGAAGATCTTGGCCTGGATTGGCGATATGGGCCTGGATTGGCGATATGGGCCTATGATGGAAATATCGGCCTGGAGTGGAGATATGGGCCTGGAGTGGAGATACAGGCCTAGGGTGGAAATATTGGCCTGGAGTGGAGATATGGGCTTCTGGTGGGGATATGGGCTTGTGGTGGGGATCTGGGCTTGGAGGCTGGGTCTCTGCACAGCCGACAGCCCTGTTCTTGGGTGCAGGTAGGCACTGAGGGTGAGTTTAACTTCAGCCCAGGAAGGGCCTGCCTACCAAGACTCACAGCCCAGTGAGGGCAGCAAGGGAGGGCTGGTTCGCCTGCAGATGGATGGTCCATCATGATCTTTCTTTCCAGGGTTCTTCTTGCTGCAGGGGGCCTGGCCACATGAGGGTGAGTCCTTCTCCAAACCTTCGGGTGTCATCTCCCCACATAAGAGGATTTTCCTGAAACAGGAGGGAAGTCCTGTCGGGGAGCCTCTCATAAACTAGGAAGAGGGGACCCTGGGGTGCTCGGCCCACAGTTCCGACCTCGCCTCCCTGGCCTTTCATTCCCTTGGCAGAGTCAAGTTCTGTGGGGACCAGGGTTAGACTGGGGTGCTCAAAGCTGGGGTGTGTGGTGGGGAAGTGGTAGGAACAGCAGATCCTCTGAGGACAAAGGTGTTACTCACACTTCAGCGTTTCCATGACGGTAGGGGCTGCAGTGTGGCTGCTGTCACTCCACCAGAAGAGGTGGGAAACCACAGCCATGGCCCTGACATTCCAAATCCTCTGATGGGGGCTCAGTTGCTTATTTTCATTCAGGCATCGGCTGATATTCCATTCTCAAAGGACATGCCCTCCACCCCATGTCTACCCTGTGTTGTTTTATGTGAGTAATCTTACAGTATTAAAATCTAGTAGGAGTCTCTTACTCAGCACTTGCTCAAAGTTCTCAGCTGACACTTTTGTTGTAGGGAGACACCTTGTGTTTGCGGGATGGGTCCTTCCTTTAGCCCTGGGCACCAAGGTGTGATAGCAGCCATAGAAACTTGGAAAGCGAGGAGAATCTTCAGAGCACAGGGAGGGAGGGGTGGCTCCACATCCTCCTCTCTAAGGCGGTGCCTCCTTCTCCCCAAGGTGGTCAGGACAAGCCCTTGCTGTCTGCCTGGCCCAGCTCTGTGGTGCCTCCAGGACATGTGATTCTTCGGTGTCATTCTTATCTTGGGTTTAACAACTTCAGTCTGTAAAAGGAAGATGGGGTGCCTGGCACTGAGCTCTACAACAGAATATTCTGGAAGAGCCTTTTCATGGGCCCTGTGACCCCAGCACACACAGGGACGTACAGATGTCGGGGTTCACACCCACACTCCCCCAGTGGGTGGTCGGCACCCAGCAACCCCCTGGTGATCATGGCCACAGGTCAGAGGGCTCCTGTCTTGGATTCTCCTTTCCCACCTCCTGAATCCCAGAGCTTCTGGTGGGCGTGTCCTTGAGGGTCCCATCACCCAGGCCCTGACTATATTTGGGGTAAAGGGGGATTGAATACAGGGAAATGGGTGCTGTGGTGGGAAGAATAATTGTCCCCAGTGATGACTACATTCTAATCCCTGGAGTCTGTGACTATTTATGTTATAGGGGAAGGAACTGAAGGGGAAGATGGAGCTCAGGTTGTTGATGAGTTGACCTTGAGATGGGGAGACAGCCTGGACTGTCCCGCTGGGCTCAGTGTAATCACAAGGGTCCACATGAAAGGAGGAGGAAGAGGGGAGTGGGGATTAGAGCAGCGCAATGGGAGACTCCACCAGCTTTGAAGGTGGAGGAAGTCCAGGAGCCATGAATGCAGGTGGCCTGTAGAGGCTGGAAAAGTCAAGGAAATGATTCTCCAGAGTCTCCAGAGGGAACGAAGCCCTGCAGATGCCTTGATTTTAGCCCAGGAAAAACAGGGTCCTATTTCTGTCTCCAGTAGTGAAATGGGTCAGTGTGCTCTCTCCTGCTGCCATGCTGCTGATAATTTTCTACAGCAGCAACAGGAAACCAACACTGGAACCCAGGTCAAGGACAAGTTAAGAAACAACACAAGGATAGCCGGGTGTGGTGGCAGGCGCATGTAATCCTAGCGACTTGGGAGGCTGAGGGCAGGAGAATCACTTGAACCCAGGAGACAGAAGTTGCAGTGACCCTAGACCACACCACTTCACTCCAGCTGGGGTGAAGGAGTGAGACTCTGATCTCCATAATTAATTAATTAATTAAAGGAACCAAACAAGGGGAAGGTTGGCTACACCTAGATCAGCAAGTGTGGGATGATGATGCCACCACCAGGCTCCATCCACATAGGGAGGGGTTGATACTCCTCAAACCAGCACCAGGAGCCAGCCTATGGAAGCTGGCACCATGGAGAAGGCACAGGCATGGCAAGAGTGGCTCCCAGTCCCGACCAGGAACAGGGTGTGTGGACACTGCTGCCTGCCTTATTCATCAGTTCATACCTCCTGCCAAGGATTCCAATTCATCCAAAAGAGATTGAACCAGGCTGATAAGAGGCTGGATGTGCAGCCTATCCTGGTTCCTCTTTCACCCCCACATAAACAGCAGGAAAGACATTAGTGTGAAATAGATACAACACCCCAAGAGATGAGGCTAAGCCCAGTGGGAAGGGAATCAGAGGCGACTAGAGACAGAGAGACAGAGAAGAGGGAGGGAGACAGATGGAAGGACCTGCACCAGGAGTTATGGGCACAGAAAAGAACATGAAGACACAGAGAGGAAGGAGAGAGACAGACACCAGCAAGGGGAAGCCTCACTCATTCTAGGTGCCATGGATGGGATGATAAAGAGAGACACCTTCTAAACTCACAACCTCTCTTCCTAGGAGTCCACAGAAAACCTTCCCTCCTGGCCCACCCAGGTCCCCTGGTGAAATCAGAAGAGACAGTCATCCTGCAATGTTGGTCAGATGTCAGGTTTGAGCACTTCCTTCTGCACAGAGAGGGGACATTTAACGACACTTTGCACCTCACTGGAGAGCACCATGATGGGGTCTCCAAGGCCAACTTCTCCATCGGTCCCATGATGGAAGACCTGGCAGGGACCTACAGATGCTACGGTTCTGTTACTCACTCCCCCATCAGTTGTCAGCTCCCAGTGACCCTCTGGACATCGTCATCACAGGTGAGAGTGTCCGGACATTCTTCTCATTGTCATTGGGATGCAGAGTGAATGATCCACGACTTGGAACCCCCAGGTAGTTGTAAGGAAGATGAGCTTGGTATTCTTATGGAGAGAGACTGACTTGGTGAGGTCTGTACCAACAGAGACAGAGAAACAGGAGACACAAGTACAGACCAGGTGTCATAACAGAGGACAGACACAGGGGCCATACCGGGAGTTAGAAAAGACAGAAGGAGTTAAAGGAGACAGACAGACAGACATGTCCCAGAGAGAGGTGTCCCTCCATGCTGACTTTGCTCAGAGACCTGGCACAGGTTAGAAGTTTCATTTCTGTTTTACCTCCACAAAGTGTTCTCTACCAGGAGAACCCAAGGACACCCATATTTCTGACCTGAGTTGGGCCCTGTGGCCTCAGGCCTTGTGGCACCTACAGATGCCGTGTTTATTCTCACACCTCTGCCTTCCATGTAATGGAGAGTAACCGTCCCAGGATATCATGGCCCCAGAACACCAACCCCTGTATGCTGTGTGAACTTGTGGTCTCCAGACTGGATTCTGAGGCTCACATTCCAAATAACCCCACATATGAAAGGATCACTGAGAGGCACAGAGAGAAATCAGGGACACCAAAAAGCAAAGACATAAACACACAGAGAATGAGCCAGAGGAAGGAGATTGAGAGACTCACAGACACATAAAGAGAGAGAAAAGAGGGCAGAGGAGTGGTGAGAATGATGGAAGGGAGCAGAGAAAAGCACTAAAATTAGAGTCCTGAGGGAGAGGCACAAGGACATAGAAAGATGGAGATGTGGGGATGAATTGCAGAGATTCCAAAGAGAACTAGAGAGACCGAGAGGCAGAGCAAGACAGATGATAGATGGTTAGATATAGATAGATGATAAATAGGTAGATGATAGATAATAGGTTAAAGATACATAGATGATGATTGATTGATTCATTAATAGATGAGACATAGAGATGATGATGATGAAGACAGATAGATAATACATAGAGATAGAGAGGCAGACAGAAGTCATAGAGAGAGAGATGATACATAGATATAGATAACAGATGATTGATGGATAGATAGACAAGTGATAGATACATAGATGATATATAGATATAGATGACAGGTAGAGAATTTGTAGATAGGCACCGAATAGATAAATAGATAGATCGACAGATAATAGATAGAAATATGCAGAAAGTTATGAACAGGACACAAAGTGAGAAACTTAGAATTTAAAAAAGTAACATCAAGTGAACCAATCCAAGGAGAGTCAGAGAGAATAAAACAATCCAAAAAGGGAAAACATATCTAGAGGTGTGGAAGCGAGGTCAGAGACCTAGAGAGACAGAGAAGGTGGAAGGAGGAAATAGACATGAAGAGAGATGGGGTGGAGGGTGAGAGAGAGAGAGAGAGAGCATTAGGTCATAGAGCAGGGGAGTGAGTTCTCAGCTCAGGTGAAGGGAGCTGTGACAAGGAAGAGCCTCCGTAAGGAAAATGCCTCTTCTCCTTCCAGGTCTATATGAGAAACCTTCTCTCTCAGCCCAGCCGGGCCCCACGGTTCTGGCAGGAGAGAGCGTGACCTTGTCCTGCAGCTCCCGGAGCTCCTATGACATGTACCATCTATCCACGGAGGGGGAGGCCCATGAACGTAGGTTCTCTGCAGGGCCCAAGGTCAACGGAACATTCCAGGCTGACTTTCCTCTGGGCCCTGCCACCCACGGAGGAACCTACAGATGCTTCGGCTCTTTCCGTGACTCTCCCTACGAGTGGTCAAACTCGAGTGACCCACTGCTTGTTTCTGTCACAGGTGAGGAAAGCCCATGGCTGTCCCATGTCCTATGATCCTAGAGCCTTAGCTGAGGAGCTTCCTGCTGAGGATGGAGAGAAGGATGAACAGATGCAGAGAGAAGACGAAGCTTGGGTGTGAGGGAGGGATCAGGGCACAGGATGGCAGACAGGGCACCTCCAAACCCTCCTACATGGCCTGCATGAAGGCCTGCGGCCAGGACTCCAGGCACCCAGGCAGATGGAGAAAGCGGTCAGGAGAGACCCAGAGGAGGGAGACTGGGCTCAGTTTGGGAAGATCAGAGGTTCCCTCAGCCCCTCAACATTACCCATTTCCCAGAAGCCCATCCTGGCCTCCCACCCACACAGGGATGTCATCACCTGCAACCCCTACACCGTTTACTTTTGTTTGAGAAATATTTATTGAGGATAAATATAACTATATAGCTTACCACCTTTAACATTTTTTTTTTTGAGGCGGAGTCTAGCTCTGTCCCCTATGCTGGAGTGCATTGGCACAATCTCAGCTCACTGCAACTTCCGCCTCCTGGGTTCAAGCGATTCTCTTGCCTCAGCCACCTGAGTAGCTGGTGCTACAGGCGCGCACCACCATGCCAGGCTACTTTTTGTATTTTTAGTAGAGAGGGGGTTTCACCATGTTGGTCAAGCTGGTCTCGAACTCCTGACCACGTGATCCACCCGCATCAGCCTCCCAAAGTGCTGGGATTACAGGCATGAGCCACCACGCCCAGCCACATTTACCATTTTTAAGTGTAAAGTCTAGTGGTCATAAATACATTAATATATATATATATACACATATATTTTTTTTTACCCTCCACCCTTTTCTTCCTGGCCTCTGGTAGCCACCATTCTACTCTCTACCTTCATGAGATCCACCTTTTAGCTCCTGTATATGGGTAAGAAATGGGAATCTTTGTAATGACCTCCAGTTCCATCCATGTGGCTGCAAATATCAGGATGTTATTCTTTCTATGGAAGAGTAGTCTCCACTATGCAAATGTACCACATTCTCTCTATCCATTCACCCACTGATGGGCAGGTAGGTTGACTCCACATCTTGGCTACTGTGAAGAGTGCTGCACCAATCATACGAGTGCAGATATCACTTCGATATATTGATTTACTTTCCTTTGGATATAAACCCAGTAGTGAAATTGCTGGATACTATGAAAGTTCTCTTTTTAGTTTTTCGTTTGTTGTTTTGTTTTTGTTTTTGAGACAGTTTCCCTCTGTGCCAGGCTGGAGTACAAGTGATATGATCTTGGCTCATTGCAACCTCTGCCTCCTGGGTTCAAATGATTTTCCTGCCTCAGCCTCCCTAGTATCAGGGATTATAGGCGCACGCCACCATGCCTGGCTACTTTTTGTTTTTTTTAGTATAGATGCGGTTTCCCCATGTTGGCTGGGCTGCTCTCAAACTCATGACCTCAACTGAGGTGCCCGCCTCGGTCTCCCAAAGTGCCGGGATTACAGGCCTGATCCACCTCACCCAACCTCTTTTTAGTTCTTTAAAGGACTTCCACACTTTTCTCCGTAATGGCTGTACTAATTTACACTCCTCCCAACAGGATACCAGGATTCTCCTTTCTCTAACACCTTGCCAGCATTTCTTTTGCCTGTCTTGCAGCTAAAAGCCATTTTATTTTATTTCATTTTATTTTGAGATGGAGTTTCGCTCTTGTCACCCAGGCTGAGTGCAGTGGTGCGATCTCGGCTCACCGCAACCTCCACCTCCCAGGTTCAAGCGATTCTCCTGCCTCAGCCTCCCGAGTAGCTGGAATTACAGGCACACGCCACCACGCCCGACTAATTTTTGTATTTTTAGTAGAGACAGTGTTTCTCCATGTGGGTCAGACTGGTCTCAAACTCCCGACCTTATGAGATTCACCCACCTCAGGCTCTCAAAGTTCTAGGATGACAGACGTGAGCCACCTCACCCGGCCTAAAAGCCATTTTAATGGGGTGAGATGAAAACTCACTTTGATTTTAATTTGCGTTTCTCTGATGATGAGTGATACTGAGCACTTTTTAGTATGTGGGGAAATTTCATGTCTTTTGCTCCTGTTTCAATTAAATCATTTGTTTTATTGAGTTGTTTGAGCTTCTTATATTTCTAGTTATTAATCCCATCTCAGATGCATAGTTTGCACATATTTGCTCCCAATCTGTGGGTTGTCTCTTCACTTTGTTGGTTTATTTTTAGCAGTGCAGAAGTTGCTTAGTTTGAGGTAATCCCAATGGTCTATTTTTGCTTCGATTACTTGTGTTTTCAAGGTTTAAAACAAAATGTCTTCCCTCAGACAAACGTCCTGGAGCATTTCCCCAATATTTTCTTCTACGTGTTTCATAGGTTCAGGCCTTAGACTCACATCTTTAATCCATTTTCATTTGATTTTTGTGTATAGTGACAGGCAGAGGTGCAGTTTCATTCCTCTGCATGTAGATGTCCAGGTTTCCCTGCACTGTTTATTGAAAAGACTGTCCTTTCCTGATTGTGAGTTCTTGGCACCTTTGTCAAAGTCCATTGGATGGGCTGGGCATGGTGGCTAACACCAGCAACTTCAGCACTTTGGGAGGCCAAGGCTGGTGGATCACCTGAGGACAGGAGTACAAGATTACTCTGGCCGACGTGATGAAACATCGTCTCCACTAAAAATATAAAAATTAGCTGAGCATGGTGGTCAGCACCTGTAATACCACTACTCAGGAGTTTGAGGCCAGAGAAGTGATTGAACCCAGGAGGCTGTGGTGGCAGTGAACCGAGATTGCACCTCTGCACTCCAGCCTGGGTGACAGAGCAAGACTCCATCTCAAAAGAAAAACAAAAAATACATTGGAGGTAAATGCATGGATTATATCTGTGTTATTCATTCTGCTCCGTTGTTCTATGTGCCTTTCTTCATGCCAATGTCATGCTGTCTTGCTTACTACAGCTCTGCAACATATTTTGAGATCAGGTAGTGTGATGCTCCTGTTTTCTCTTTATACCTTGAAGTCTCAAGACAGTAGCCGTCACATACAAAAATTACGGAAAAAAGGATCCCAGGACTCCCAGGGCCCAATATTAGATAACAGAGTGTTGGCCATGAACCAACCTCAAAGATTTCCACTGAGTAGAGGACAGACACCCTCATTTCCTCACCTCTCTCCTGTCTCGTGTTCTAGGAAACCCTTCAAATAGTTGGCCTTCACCCACTGAACCAAGCTCCGAAACCGGTGAGTACAGAACCCTCTTATATCCGCTTTTGGAAACCTGGGGAGGTGGAAACCTTGGATTCAGGCGTTGACTCAGCATCTCACAGCTCTGACATTGTACGCCTGTCTTCTACCATCTCCGAACTCCAGATACTCCAACAGCGAAAGGGATCTGGACCCAAAACAGGGCTGAGTGAAATCTCTTAATCTCTCATTTTATGGAGCTGAGATCTCCTACAAGCTAGAAAAATGATTGGCAATCTGACATCCTTCTCAGGAAAAATGCAATGTTTGTTCTGCCTGCATTCCTAACTGGAGGATAAATTCCTGGGGGCTTGAGAGAGGGAAGGGTAGGGAACATTTGATGAGGGCGAGGTGTTTTAGAGAAGTTCCACTTGCCCAGGAATGAATTACTGTTGGTCATGAAGCAACCCTGGCTGACTCAGCAGAGCAAGAGCTTTGCCTTAACAGAGAACGGAGCTCATGCACGCACACTTCGACTCACTGACTCATTCAGCCACGGCCCCATGCTCAGGCCGTGGAAAAGGCAATTCCCAGCACTGCAGGAGGCCAAGGCGGGTGGATCACTTGAAGTCAGGAGTTCCAGACCAGCCTGGCCAAAATGGTGAAACCCTGTCTCTATGAAAAATACAAAAATTAGTCGAGCATGGTGGTGCATCCCTGTAATCCCAGCTCCTACTCTTGAGGATGAAGCAGGAGAATGACTTCAACCCAGGAGGTGGAGGTTGCAGTGAGTGGAGATTGCATCACTGCACTCCAGCCTGGGTGACACAAGGAGACTCCGTCTCAAAAAATAAAAATAAGAAATGCATAAATATAATAAAACACACACGAATGACAAAGGCACCTGAATTCCAATCATCATTTTTGTATTTCTCTATAATTACTTCTTTGATCCTTTGTCTTATCCATTAGGCAATGAGCCTAAAACCTCTTCCGTATTTGGCTTTCTGTGAGCATGAGACCATATAGAAAATGTGAAAGCCCGCTGAATCCTCCAGCACAGATCGTGGAATAGAGAAAGTGCTCTGTTCATCACAAAAAAAACTTGCCGTCTCACTCAAATCCCCCACTTCACCCCTACTTCCAATCACCTGTGGAGATTCAGATAGACCATGGGGAGGTAAACATTAATACTCCTTGGAGTGAGTCCAGATCTTGGAATGAGAGATCAGCACCAGCACTAGCTCCTGCTCCCCTTTCCTACTAATTCACAGGAGGACAGGTGGTATTGAAGCAATAGATGGTGGAGGGGGTGGTCCTTCCCCCAGCCTCTCAGGTAGAACAGCAGCCTAACATGTGTCTCCCGAGATCACAAAGAGTAGGACGTTTCACAGGGGCTTCAACACGATTTCCTGGCTGTTGGACATAAGATAACTCTATTTCGCTTTTTTATCTTGATTTCACTTTTGTTTCCTTTCCTTGGAGAACGCAAGTTGTTTGACTCAAGAATGCTGTGGATGTAGAAATCCTAAAGCACATTCGCTGTGTGTCAATCCCAGTGCAGTCTTCCCAGAAAAGACCCTAAACACCTCCTAGACTGCACCTGGGCCTACGCCAATTCCTATCACTCACCGTCACTCCAGGGAGACAGAACACACAGAGAATACGTTACATAGGCAGGTTCATTACTAACAGATAAGCAGCGAGTGAAAACAGAAGCCTACATTTCAATGTGAGCCAGTCCCTCAAGGCTCAGAAAAGCTGCTCGGGACATATGGAGTCACCCCATTTGCAGTGTAGCTGGGGGAAGCCAGAAAGCAGCCCAGCCTGGGTTTTGTACCCTGGAGCCACAGGAAGCACTCAGCTAAAGCACTGCATGACGTCCTCCTCCAGGAAGAACAGGAAGACAGCCCAGGCTGCTCTGGGACGTTCCTCCTGATCTCAGGACGTTGCTGTCTTAGTCCATTTTTGTTGCTCTAAAGGAACACTTGAGCCTGGGCAACTTCTAAAGAAAAGAGATTGGTTTGTCTCACCGTTCTGCAGGCTGTACTGGAAGCATGGCACCAGCATCTATTTCTCGTGATGGCCTCAGGCTGCTCCCACTCTGGCAGAAGGGAAGGAGGGTCTGTCTGTGCAGAGACCACAGAGATCACACGGCAAGAGAGGGAGCAAGGGGGAGGGGGAGTGATGGAGCTTCCAAGTTCTTTTGAACAACCAGCTCTCCAGGAACTAATAGAGGGGGAACTTGCTAACCCCGTCTCCTTGGGACAGCATTGATCTGTTCATGATGGATCCACCTCCATGACCCAAACACCTCTCAAGAGGCCCAACCTCCCACAATGGGGGTGAAATTTCAATGTGAGGTTTGAAGGGGTCAAACATCTCAACTAAAGTAGTTGTATCCTCAGCACATTCTATGGTTACTTTGAGAGCTATAACTGAGAAAGCAGGAGAAAGCTGGGTCTCCCGCCATCTGGGTGCTTGTCCTAAAGAGGTGTATTACGTGGTTACCTGTCAATCAAGAAATGCGAGACAATTCATAAAAAGGAACTGCTATGATTAGCTTCTTATTGGTGTCTCATCTTCTTCCAGGTAACCCAAGACACCTGCACGTTCTGATTGGGACCTCAGTGGTCATCATCCTCTTCATCCTCCTCCTCTTCTTTCTCCTTCATCGCTGGTGCTCCAACAAGAAAAGTAAGTCTTACGAAGGAGAGGCCAGAGAGCTCCGGGCCATGTGGGGAAGCAGGATGGGAGCACTCAGGTGTGTGTTCCTCACAGGTAGGATGGTCCCTGGCCCAAGGCAGCAGCCACAGAGGCAGGACTTTCTAGAGAGGGCACCAGACTCCCTGTCCCTGCCTTCAGCTCACAGACCGTTGCCTGATTCTGAACTGTATCCTCACGTCCCCTGCAGCCACTCACATCCAGGAGAAGGTTCCATGACAGGCAGAAAGTGGGAGACAGAATCAATGGGATGGGAACTCAGAGCTATTCATGGGATGGGTCCTTGAGCTCAGAGAGATAGAATGTCTGAGTCTGCTGTTGGCAACTGAGGGACCTCAGGCTCCTATGGCCTCCCCCTGTTTGTTGGTATCTGCTTATGAAATGAGGACCCAGAAGTGCCCTCCGAGCTCTTTTGTTGACTTCCGTCTCCTACACATGCTGCTGTAATGGACCAAGAGCCTGCAGGGAACAGAACAGCGAATAGCTAGGTAGGTGCTCCTCGGCCCAGCCTCGTGGCTAGTGTTATTCCCAAACAGTCCTGGAAAATGTGAGCACCCTCCCTCACTCAGGATTTCCCTCTCTCCAGGACTCTGATGAACAAGACCCTCAGGAGGTGACATACGTACAGTTGGATCACTGCGTTTTCACACAGAGAAAAATCACTCGCCCTTCTCAGAGGCCCAAGACACCCCCAACAGATACCAGAGTGTACACGGAACTTCCAAATGCTGAGTCCAGATCCAACGTTGTCTCCTGCCCATGAGCACCACAGTCAGGCCTTGAGGGGATCTTCTAGGGAGACAATAGCCCTGTCTCAAAACCGGGTTGCCAGCTCCCATGTACCAGCAGCTGGAATCTGAAGGCGTGAGTCTGCATCTTAGGGCATCGCTCTTCCTCACACCACAAATCTGAATGTGCCTCTCTCTTGCTTACAAATGTCTAAGGTCCCCACTGCCTGCTGGAGAGAAAACACACTCCTTTGCTTAGCCCACAATTCTCCATTTCACTTGACCCCTGCCCACCTCTCCAACCTTACTGGCTTACTTCCTAGTCTACTTGAGGCTGCAATCACACTGAGGAACTCACAGTTCCAAACATACAAGAGGCTCCCTCTTAACACGGCACTTAGACACGTCCTGTTCCACCTTCCCTCATGCTGTTCCACCTCCCCTCAGAGTATCTTTCAGCCTTCTGTCAGCAGTAAAACTTATATATTTTTTAAAATAATTTCAATGTAGTTTTCCCTCCTTCAAATAAACATGTCTGCCCTCATGGTTTCGGTAATGGGACTCTTTTCTTGCCTAAGACTTCCAGTGTTATCATTACCATGTCCACATAACCCCATCTGTTCTCCACTGGGTTCTCACCCCCGGACTCTGAGTTTCTGGAAGCAGGGTGGAGCCTCATTTGTCTCTGGGACTCCTATTTCCATCCAAAGATGTAGCACATAGGAGGTTCCAAGGATCGTGAATCACATGAACAAGTGATATTCTTACTCTCTGCAGACCTGGAAATCTGGCAGAGTCATTCCAAGATGAAACATTTGTAGAGTCATAGGCCTTGTTAGTCTCATCTACACAGGGACACATATCAACACATCATCTTTCACACTATAAATATACAGTCACTCCTCCATATCTGTGGGGTTTACAGTTCTTTATTGAACCGAGTATAAATCAAAAATATTCAGAGAAAGTATCCACAGAGTTACAAAAAGCAGAACTGTGTTGAATGGACACAAATGAAGCTGTGTGTAGGCTGCATCAGGAATTATAAGTAATCTAGAGATGATTTCATCTATAGAGGAGGATGTGCATAGGTTATTTGCAAACTCTGTGCCATTTCATTTAAGAGGCTTGAGCATCTACAGATTTTGGTATCTGAGTGGAGATCTCGAAACCAATCACCCAGGAATAGTGAAGGATGACCGTATATGACTTTTATTTCTCAAATTTAAATATAAATCATAAAAAATGTACAACTAGATAAAAACTAAGAAGTGTTTTTATAGTGTGAGTTAGATTTATTTTTTCCTAGGTATAACCCATTGGTTTAATATTATTTATTGAGAAGACATTCTATGCCACCTTAAACCACACGGCAGCCTTTGTCAACTCTAAAGGGACTGTGTGTACATGGATGTACTTTAGACACTGTTTCTGCTAAGGGGCTCTCTGTGTCCACACTCTTGATGATGCTGCACTTTATGTAGCCTTATAGAACCCTTTAAATTTAGTAGCCAGAGCTCTCTAATTTGTTATTATAGGCTATTTGCTTTTTTTTCTTGAGGCGGAGTCTTGCTCTGTCGCCCAGGCTGGACTGCAGTGACACAATCTCAGCTCACTGCAACTTCTGCCTCCCAGGTTCAAGCGATTCTCGTGCCTCAGCCTCTTGAGTAGCTGGCGTTACAGGTGCCTGCCACCAGGCACGGCTAATTTTTGGATTTTTAGCAGAGACACGGTTTCACTATATTGGCCAGGCTGCTCTCAAACTCCTTATCTCAGTTGATCCGCCCACCTCGGCTTCCCAACGTGCTGGGGAAACTTGATTTTCTATAGCATTATGTTACTGGATATTTCTGTAAAATTTAAAATGAGGGAGGGAGAGAGACAGACGGAAAACAAACTCCAGAGTTGGGACTCTGGAATCTTGGGTCATGAGACAAATTTTAGATTAAACTACAAAACTCCAGAATTTACAGGTGGGGTTTTTACTGATAAAGTACAATTCTAAGATTGTAAATAATTGCATAATCCTTCCCTGGGAATTTAAATCATTTTAACTGGTTCTGCTGTAATACTAGAAATACAAGCATGAAAAATTCTAATGGTTTGTTAGTCACAATGACTCTGAAAACATTAATAATACCTATTAGATATTTTGCATATTACACAGGAAGAAGAGTTTGAATCTCAGATAAAAACAATAGAAATACATGAAAAGTCTTTCATGTTAGCACAGATTTTAGGCATCTCGTGTTCGGGAGGTTGGATCTCAGACGTGTTTTGAGTTGGTCATAGTGAAGGACACTAGGTGTCAAATTCTAGCGAGAACAATTTCCAGGAAGCCGTGTTCCGCTCTTGAGCGAGCACCCACTGGGCCTCATGCAAGGTAGAAAGAGCCTGCGTACGTCACCCTCCCATGATGTGGTCAACATGTAAACTGCATGGGCAGGGCGCCAAATAACATCCTGTGCGCTGCTGAGCTGAGCTCGGTCGCGGCTGCCTGTCTGCTCCGGCAGCACCATGTCGCTCTTGGTCGTCAGCATGGCGTGTGTTGGTGAGTCCTGGAAAGCAATAGAGGGAGGGAGCGCGGGGATGGAGATCTGGGCCCAGAGGTGGAGATATAGGCCTGGAGGTGGAGTTATGGGCCTGGAGTGGAGATCTGGGCCTGGAGTGGATATATGGGCCTAGAGATGGAGTGATGGGCCTAGAAGTGGAGATCTGGGCCCAGAGGTCGAGATATAGGCCTGGAGGTGGAGTGATGGGACTGTAGTGGAGATCTGGGCCTGGAGTGGAGATAGGAACCTGGAGGGGAGATAGGAACCTGGAGGGGAGATATGGGCCTGGAGGTGGAGATATGGGCCTGGAGTGGAGTCATGGGCCTGGAGGTGGAGTTACGGGCCTGCAGTAGAGATATGGGCCTGAAGTGGAGACATGGGCCTGGAGTGGAGATATGGGCCAGGAGTGGAGATATGGGCCTAGAGGTCGATATCTGGGCCTGGAGTGGAGATATGGGCCAGGAGTGGAGATATGGGCCTAGAGGTCGATATCTGGGCCTGGAGAGGAGATATGTGCCTAGGATGGAGATACGGGCCTGGGTGTGGAGATATGGGACTGGAGAGGATATATGGGCCTGGAGTGGAGATATGGGACTGGAGAGGAGATATGGACCTGGAGTGGAGATAAGGGCCTGGATTGGAGATATGGGCCCAGGGTGGAGATCTGAGCCTGGATTGGAGATATGGGCCTGGATTGGCGATATGGGCTTAGGGTGGAAATATCGGCCTGGAGTGGAGATATGGGCCTGGAGTGGAGATATGGGCTTGAGGTGGGGATATGGACCTGGAGGCTGGGTCTCTGCACAGCCGACAGCCCTGTTCTTGGGTGCAGGTAGGCACTGAGGGTGAGTTTACCTTCAGCCCAGGAAGGGCCTGGCTACCAAGACTCACAGCCCAGTGGGGGCAGCAAGGGTGCCCTGGTTTGCCTGCAGATGGGTCATCCATCATGATCTTTCTTTCCAGGGTTCTTCTTGCTGCAGGGGGCCTGGCCACATGAGGGTGAGTCCTTCTCCAAACCTTCGGGTGTCATCTCCCCACATAAGAGGATTTTCCTGAAATGGGAGGGAAGTCCTGTCAGGGAGTCTCTCATAAACTAGGAAGAAGGGACCCTGGGGTGCTGGGCCCACATTTCTGACCTTGCCTCCCTGGCCTTTCATTCCCTTGGCAGAGTCAAGTTCTGTGGGGACCAGGGTTAGACTACGGTGCTCAAAGCTGGGGTGTGTGGTGGGGAAGTGGTAGGAACAGCAGATCCTCTGAGGACAAAGGTGTTACTCACACACTTCAGCGTTTCCATGACGGTAGGGGCTGCAGTGTGGCTGCTGTCATTCTACCAGAAGAGGTGGGAAAACCACAGCCATGGCCCTGACATTCCAATCCTCTGATGGGGACTCAGTTGTTTATTTTCGTTCAGGCATCAGCTGATATTCCATTCTCAAAGGACATGCCCTCCACCCCATGTCTACCCTGTGTTGTTTTATGTGAGTAATCTTACAGTATTAAAATCTAGTAGGAGTCTCTTACTCAGCACTTGCTCAAAGTTCTCAGCTGACACTTTTGTTGTAGGGAGACACCTTGTGTTTGCGGGATGGGTCCTTCCTTTAGCCCTGGGCACCAAGGTGTGATAGCAGCCATAGAAACTTGGAAAGCGAGGAGAATCTTCAGAGCACAGGGAGGGAGGGGTGGCTCCACATCCTCCTCTCTAAGGCGGTGCCTCCTTCTCCCCAAGGTGGTCAGGACAAGCCCTTGCTGTCTGCCTGGCCAAGCCCTGTGGTGCCTCCAGGACATGTGATTCTTCAGTGTCATTCTTATCTTGGGTTTAACAACTTCAGTCTGTAAAAGGAAGATGGGGTGCCTGTCCCTGAGCTCTACAACATAATATTCTGGAACAGCCTTTTCATGGGCCCTGTGACCCCAGCACACGCAGGGACCTATACATGTCGGGGTTCACAACCACACTACCCCAGTGGGTGGTCGGCACCCAGCAACCCCCTGGAGATCACGGTCACAGGTCAGAGGGCTCCTGTCTGGGATTCTCCTTGTCCCACCTCCTGAATCCCAGAGCTCCTGGTGGGCGTGTCCTTGCGGGTCCCATCATGCAAGTCCTGACTGTATTTGGGGTAAAGGGGGATTGAATACAGGGAAATGGGTGCTGTGGTGGGAAGCACTGTGTTGTCCCCAGTGATGACTACATTCTAATCCCTGGAGTCTGTGACTATTTATGATATAGGGGAAGGGACTGAAGGAGAAGATGGAGCTCAGGTTGTTGATGAGTTGACCTTGAGATGGGGAGAAGGCCTGGACTGTCCTGATGGGCTCAGTGTAGTCACAGGGGTCCACATGAAAGGAGGAGGAAGAGGGGAGTGGGGATTACAGCAGCATAATGGGAGTCTCCATCAGCTTTGAAGGTGGAGGAAGTCCAGGAGCCATGAATGCAGGTGGCCTATAGAGGCTGGAAAAGTCAAGGAACTGATTCTCCTGAGTCTCCAGAGGGAACGAAGCCCTGCAGGTACCTTGATTTTACCCACGACAAACAGGGTCCGATTTCTGTCTCCAGAATTGGAAGGGGTTAGTGTGCTCTCTCCTGCTGCCATGCTTCTGATAATTTTCTACAGCAGCAACAGGAAACCAACACTGGAACCCAGGTCAAGGACAGGTTAAGAAACAACACAAGGATAGCCAGGCATGGTGGCAGGTGCATGTAATCCTAGCGACTTGGGAGGCTGAGGGCAGGAGAATCACTTGAACCCAGGAGACAGAGGTTGCAGTAAGCCTAGACCACACCACTTCACTCCAGCCTGGGCAAAGGAGTGAGACTCTGTCGCCAAAATTAATTAATTAATTAAAGAAACCAAACAAGGAGAAGGTTGGCTACACTGAGATCAGCAAGGCTCGGATGATGATGCCACCACCAGGCTCCATCCACATAGGGAGCGGTTGATACTCCTCCAACCAGCACCAGGAGCCAGGCTATGGAAGCTGGCACTGGCATGGCAAGAGTGTCTCCCAGTCCCTACCAGGAACAGGGTGTGTGGCCACTGGTGCCTGCCTTACTGATCAGTTCATACCTCCTGCCAAGGATTCCAATTCGTCCAAAAGAGATTGAACCAGGCTGCTAAGAGCCTGGATGTGCAGCCTATCCTGGTTCCTCTTCCACCCCCACACAGACAGCAGGAAAGACATTAGTTCGAAATAGATACAACAGCCCAAGAGATGAGGCTGAGCCCAGCGGCAAGGGAATCAGAGGCTACTAGAGACAGAGGGACAGAGAAGAGTGAGGGAGACAGATGGAAGGACCTGCACCAGGAGTTATGGGCACAGAAAAGAACATGAAGACACAGAGAGGAAGGAGAGAGATAAGACACCAGGAAGGGGAAGCCTCACTCAATCCAGGTGCCATGGATGGGATGATAAAGAGAGACACCTTCTAAACTCACAACCTCTCTTCCTAGGAGTCCACAGAAAACCTTCCCTCCTGGCCCACCCAGGTCGCCTGGTGAAATCAGAAGAGACAGTCATCCTGCAATGTTGGTCAGATGTCATGTTTGAACACTTCCTTCTGCACAGAGAGGGGATGTTTAACGACACTTTGCGCCTCATTGGAGAACACCATGATGGGGTCTCCAAGGCCAACTTCTCCATCAGTCGCATGACGCAAGACCTGGCAGGGACCTACAGATGCTACGGTTCTGTTACTCACTCCCCCTATCAGGTGTCAGCTCCCAGTGACCCTCTGGACATCGTGATCATAGGTGAGAGTGTCCAGACTTTCTTCTCATTGTCATTGGGATGCAGAGTGAATGATCCAGGACTTGGAGGCCCAGGTGGCTGTAAGGAAGATGAGCTTGGTATTCTTATGGAGAGAGACTGACTTGGTGAGGTCTGTGCCAACAGAGACAGAGAAACAGGAGACACAAGTAGAGACCAGGTGTCATAACAGAGAACAGACACAGGGGCCATACCGGGAGTTTGAAAAGACAGAAAGAGTTAAAGGAGACACACAGACAGACATGTCCCAGAGAGAGGTGTCCCTCCATGCTGACTTTGCTCAGAGACCTGGCACAGGTTAGAAGTTTCATTTCTGTTTTACCTCCACAAAGTGTTCTCTACCAGGAGAACCCAAGGACACCCATATTTCTGACCTGAGTTGGGCCCTGTGGCCTCAGGCCTTGTGGCACCTACAGATGCCATGTTTATTCTGACACCTCTGCCTTCCATGTAATGGAGAGTAATCGTCCCAGGATATCATGGCCCCACAACACCAACCCCTGTATGCTGTGTGAACTTGTAGTCTCCAGACTGGATTCTGAGGCTCATATTCCAAATAAGCCCACTTATGAGAGGATCAGTGAGAGGCACAGAGAGAAATCAGGGACACCAAAAAGCAAAGACATAAACACACAGAGAATGAGCCAGAGGAAGGAGATTGAGCGACTCACAGACACATAAAGAGAGAGAAAAGAGGGCAGAGAAGTGAGAATGATGGAAGGGAGCAGAGAAAATCACTAAAGTTAGACTCCTGAGGGAGAGGCACAAGGACATTGAAAGATGGAGATGTGGGGATGAATTGCAGAGATTCCAAAGAGAACTAGAGAGACCGAGAGGCAGAGCAAGACAGATGATAGATGGATAGATATAGATAGATGATAAATAGGTAGATGATAGATAATAGGTTATAGATACATAGATGATGATTGATTGATTCATTAATAGATGAGACATAGAGATGATGATGATGAAGACACATAGATAGATAATACATAGAGATACAGAGGCAGACATAGAGAAATCATAGAGAGAGAGAGATGATACATAGATATAGATAATAGATGATTGATGGATAGATAGACAATTGATGGATAAATAGATGATATATAGATATAGATGACAGGTAGAGAATTTGTAGATAGGCACCGAATAGATAAATAGATAGATCGATAGATAATAGATAGAAATATGCAGAAAGTTATGAACAGGACACAAAGTGAGAAACTCAGAATTAAAAAAAGTAACATCAAGTCAACCAATCCAAGGAGAGTCAGAGAGAATAAAACAATCCAAAAAGAGAAAACATATCTAGAGGTGGGGAAGTGAGGTCAGAGACCTAGAGAGACAGAGAAGGTGGAAGGAGGAAATAGACATGAAGAGCGATGGGGTAGAGGGTGAGAGAGAGAGAGAGAGAGCATTAGGTCATAGAACAGGGGAGTGAGTTCTCAGCTCAGGTGAAGGGAGCTGTGACAAGGAAGATCCTCCCTGAGGAAACTGCCTCTTCTCCTTCCAGGTCTATATGAGAAACCTTCTCTCTCAGCCCAGCCGGGCCCCACGGTTCTGGCAGGAGAGAATGTGACCTTGTCCTGCAGCTCCCGGAGCTCCTATGACATGTACCATCTATCCAGGGAAGGGGAGGCCCATGAACGTAGGCTCCCTGCAGGGACCAAGGTCAACGGAACATTCCAGGCCAACTTTCCTCTGGGCCCTGCCACCCATGGAGGGACCTACAGATGCTTCGGCTCTTTCCGTGACTCTCCATACGAGTGGTCAAAGTCAAGTGACCCACTGCTTGTTTCTGTCACAGGTGAGGAAAGCCCATGGCTGTCCCATGTCCTATGATCCTAGAGCCTTAGCTGAGGAGCTTCCTGCTGATGATGGAGAGAAGCATGGACAGATGCAGAGAGAAGACGCAGCCTCGGTGTGAGGGAGGGATCAGGGCACAGGATGGCCGACAGGGCACCTCCAAACCCTCCTACATGGCCTGCATGGAGGCCCACGGCCAGGGCTCCAGGCACCCAGGCAGATGGAGAAAGCGGTCAGGAGAGACCCAGAGGAGGGAGACTGGGCTCAGTTTGGGGAGATCAGAGGTTCCCTCAGCCCCTCAACCTTACCCATTTCCCAGAAGCCCATCCTGGCCTCTCACCCACACAGAGATGTCATCACCAGCAACCCCTACACCCTTTACTTTTCTTTGAAGAAATATTTATTGAGGATAAATATACCTATATAGCTTACCACTTTTAACATTTTTTTTTGAGGTGGAGTCTAGCTGTGTCCCCTATGCTGGAGTGCAGTGGCACAATCTCAGCTCACTGCAACCTCCACCTCCTGGGTTCAAGCGATTCTCCTGCCTCAGCCACCTGAGTAGCTGGTGCTACAGGCACGCACCACCACGCCAGGCTACTTTTTGTATTTTTAGTAGGGAGGTGGTTTCACCATGTTGGTCGAGCTGGTCTCGAACTCCTGACCAAGTGATCCACCCGCATCTGCCTCCCAAAGTGCTGGGATTACAGGCATGGGCCACCGCGCCCAGCCACATTTACCATTTTTAAGTGTAAAGTCTAGTGGTCATAAATACATTTATATACATATATATATATACATTTTTTTTACCCTCCACCCTTTTCTTCCTGTCCTCCAGTAGCCACCATTCTACTCTCTACCTTCATGAGATCCACCTTTTAGCTCCTGTATATGGGTGAGAAATGGGAATCTTTGTAATGACCTCCAGTTCCATCCATGTGGCTGCAAATGACAGGATGTTATTCTTTCTATGGATGAGTAGTCTCCACTATGCGTATGTACTACATTCTCTCTATCCATTTACCCACTGATGGGCAGGTAGGTTGACTCCTCATCTTGGCTACTGTGAACAGTGCTGCACCAATCATACGAGTGCAGATATCACTTCGATATATTGATTTACTTTCCTTTGGATATAAACCCAGTAGTGAAATTGCTGGATACTATGAAAGTTCTCTTTTTTTCTTTTTTTCTTTTTTGAGAAAGAGTTTCCCTCCTTAGCCCAAGCTGGAGTCAAAGTGGTGCGACCTTGGCTCATTGCAACCTACGCCTCCTGGGTTCAAATGATTTTCCTGCCTCAGCCTCCCTAGTAGCTGGGATTACAGGTGCACACCACCATCCCTGGCTACTTTTTGGTTTTTTTAGTATAGATGGGGTTTCCCCATGTTGGCTGGGCTGCTCTCAAACTCATGACCTCAACTGAGGTGCCCGCCTCAGTCTCCCAAAGTGCCGGGATTACAGGCATGATCCACCGCACCCAACCTCTTTTTAGTTCTTTAAAGGACTTCCATACTTTTCTCCGTAATGGCTGTACTAATTTACACTCCTCCCAACAGGGTACCAGGGTTCTCCTTTCTCTACCACCTTGCCAGCATTTCTTTTGCCTGTCTTGCAGCTAAAAGCCATTTTATTTTATTTCATTTTATTTTGAGATGGAGTTTTGCTCTTCTCACCCAGGCTGGAGTGCAGTGGCGCGATCTCGGCTCACCACAACCTCCACCTCCCAGGTTCAAGCGATTCTCCTGCCTCAGCCTCCCGAGTAGCTGGAATTACAGGCACACGCCACCACGCCCGACTAATTTTTGTATTTTTAGTAGAGACAGCGTTTCTCTATGTGGGTCATACTGGTCTCAAACTCCCGACCTTATGAGATTCACCCACCTCAGGCTCTCAAAGTTCTAGGATGACAAACGTGAGCCACCTCACCCGGCCTAAAAGCCATTTTAATGGGGTGAGATGAAAACTCACTTTGAATTTAATTTGCGTTTCTCTGATGATGAGTGATACTGAGCAGTTTTTCGTATGTGGGGAAATTTCATGTCTTTTGCTCCTTTTTCAATTAAATCATTTGTTTTATTGAGTTGTTTGAGCTTCTTATATTTCTAGTTATTAATCCCATCTCAGATGCATAGTTTGCACATATTTGCTCCCAATCTGTGGGTTGTCTCTTCACTTTGTTGGTTTATTTTTAGCGGTGCAGAAGTTGCTTAGTATGAGGTAATCCCAATGGTCTATTTTTGCTTCGATTACTTGTGTTTTCAAGGTTTAAAACAAAATGTCTTTCTTCAGACAAGTGTCCTGGAGCATTTCCCCAATATTTTGTTCTACGTGTTTCATAGGTTCAGGCCTTAGACTCACATCTTTAATCCATTTTCATTTGATTTTTGTGTATGGTGACAGGTAGAGGTGCAGTTTCATTCCTCTGCATGTAGATGTCCAGGTTTCCCTGCACTGTTTATTGAAAAGACTGTCCTTTCCTGATTGTGAGTTCTTGGCATCTTTGTCAAAGTCCATTGGATGGGCTGGGCTTGGTGGCTAACACCTGCAATTTCAGCACTTTGGGAGCCCAAGGTGGGTGGATCACCTGAGGCCAGGAGTTCAAGATTAGTCTGGCCGACGTGATGAAACATCATCTCCACTAAAAATATAAAAATTAGCTGAGCATGGTGGTCAGCACCTGTAATACCACTACTCAGGAGTTTGAGGCAAGAGAATGATTGAACCCAGGAGGCTGAGGTTGCAGTGAACCGAGATTGCACCTTTGCACTCCAGCCTGAGTGACAGAGCAAGACTCCATCTCAAAAGAAAAAATAAAAAACCATTGGATGTAAATGCATGGAATATATCTGTGTTATTCATTCTGCTCCGTTGTTCTATGTGCCTTTCTTTATGCCAATGTCATGCTATTTTGCTTACTACAGCTCTGTAACATATTTTGAGATCAGGTAGTGTGATGCTCCTGTTTTCTCTTTATACCTTGAAGTCTCAAGACAGTGGGTGTCACATAAAAAAATTATGGAAAAAAGGATCCCAGGACTCCCAGGGCCCAATATTAGATAACAGAGTGTTGGCCATGAACCATCCTCAAAGATTTCCACTGAGTGGAGGACAGAAACCCTCATTTCCTCACCTCTCTCCTGTCTCATGTTCTAGGAAACCCTTCAAATAGTTGGCCTTCACCCACTGAACCAAGCTCCGAAACCGGTGAGTACAGAACCCTCTTATATCCGCTTTTGGAAACCTGGGGAGGTGGAAACCTTGGATTCAGGCGTTGACTCAGCATCTCACAGCTCTGACATTGTACACCTGTCTTCCACCATCTCCGAACTCCAGATACTCCTACAGCGAAAGGGATCTGGGCCCAACACAGGGCTCAGTGAAATCTCTTCATCTCTCATTTTATGGAGCTGAGACCTCCTACAAGCTAGAAGAATGATTGCCAATCTGACATCCTTCTCAGGAAAAATGCAATGTTTGTTCTGCCTGCATTCCTAACTGGAGGATAAATTCCTGGAGACTTGAGAGAGGGAAGGGAAGGGAACATCTGATGAGGGCGAGGTGTTTTAGAGAAGTTCCACTTGCCAAGGAATGAGCTCCTGTAGGTCATGAAGCAACCCTGGCTGACTCAGCAGAGCAAGAGCCTTGCCGTAACAGAGAACAGAGCTCATGCACGCACACTTCGACTCACTGACTCATTCAGCCACGGCCCCATGCTCAGGCTGTGCAGTGCGGAACCTTTTCCTATTGTTGCCATAACAAATTTCCACAAGATTCGTGGGTGAAAACAAAACGGTTTTTTAATTATCTTACAGTGCTGTAGCTCAAAGTAGGAAGTGCATCTTACTGGGCTAAAATCAAGGTGACAGCAAGGCTGCCTTCCCTCTGAGGATTCCAGGCACGAATCTGCTTCTCACTTGTCCCAGCTTCTAAAGGCTCCCAGTTCCTTGGCTCCTGGTCCCCTTCCTCCTTCCTCAAAGCCCACAAAGACTGGTCACATCTCACATGGCATCACTCAGTGCCTTCTTCCTTACCACACTTCTTTCTCTGAATGCTGCTCTCCCTTCTTCCTCATCTTTTGAAAACTTGGGGATTCTATTGGGTTCACCAAGATGAAAATCCCTCATAATCTCCTGGAAATCATCCAGGATACCCTTGTTTTAAGTTCAGCTGATTAGTAACCATAATTCCATCTGCAATCTTCATTCCTCCTTTCCATGTAAAATAACATATTCACAAGCTATGGAGGCTAGGACAGGGACATTTTGGGGTGGGACAGCATTCTCCTGCCTTCCACAAACAGTGAACAAGATGCATTTGGCCTCTGCCCTTGGGACACTGATATTGCAGATGGTTAAATGGGAGGGCAGAAAATGAATGCACAAGTGGATCTATAAATGAATGATCCATTGGGAAGCATCTGTGCGTGAAATCTATTTTTTGTTTGTTCTTTTGTTTATTGAGACAGAGTCGCCCTCTGTCTTCCAGGCTACAGTGCAGTGTCACGATCTTGGCTCACTGCAACCTGCGTCTCCTGGATTCAAGTGATTCTCCTGCCTCCGCCTCTCGAGTAGCTGGGATTACAGGCAACTGCCACCGTGCCCGGCTAATTCTTTTTGTATATTTTTTGTAGAGAGGATGTTTCACCACGTTGGCCAAGCTTGTCTGAAACTCCCAACCTCAAGTGATCCGACCGTCTCAGCATGCCAAAGTAATGGGACTACAGGCGTGAGCCACTGTGCCCAGCCAGAATTCAAAATCAATAATAGATAATGCTGAGTGTATGATTTCAGGTGACAAAGAAGGTCTCACTATTCAGATATTTGTGACATTAATGAAAAACACGGATTGAACCCCTGAAAGATTGGCGGAAGGATTTTGCACACACAGCTGTCAGCCGTGAAGGCACAAAGGTGAAAACAATCTGATATGGAAGGAAGAGGCTCTGCCTCAAATGCTGGGAATGATGTGGGGAGAATGACAAGATGACTGTAGAGAGACGGAGAGCACACTGGGTACACAGGAAACTAAGGAGCAACAAGGAGTGTGTGTTTGACACTCACAGCCATTGAATTCACCTCGGGGTAACTAGGAATCCCTACATGATTAATATGACTGACATGAAAATAAGGGAGGCTCAGTTGCATAACTGGAATCTAGGAGACCGTGGAAAAGGCAATTGCCGCCCCACTGGTGAAATGTGGTGCTGATTTAGACACTAAATGAATGAAGTAGATGGATATAAGATATGTTTGTGAGGTAGAATCATTGACTGGAAACGCTTACTGGGTTTGATTTTCCTACTTGTTTAATCCTCGCTTAATTAATTTCTTTCTGAGATTTATTCATCCTACACATAAATCAATACCTGGCAAAGGAGTGACAGATATATGAGGGGTGGTGGAAATGAAGGGACCTATTATAGCATAATATACAAGTCTGTGAACGGTGGCTCACGCCTGTAACCCAGCACTGCAGGAGGCCAAGGCGGGTGGATCACATGAAGTCAGCAGTTCGAGACCAGCCTGGCCAACATGGTGAAACCCTGTCTCTAGGAAAAACACAAAAATTAGCCGAGCATGGTGGTGCATCCCTGTAATCCCAGCTCCTACTCTGGAGGATGAAGCAGGAGAATGACTTCAACCCAGGAGGTGGAGGTTGCAGTGAGTGGAGGTTGCATCACTGCACTCCAGCCTGGGTGGCACAAGGAGACTCCGTCTCAAAAAATAAAAATAAGAAATGCATAAATATAAATATAATATAACACACGCAAATGACAAAGGGACCTGAATTCCAATCATGATTTTTCTATTTCTCTATAATTACTTCTTTGATCCTTTATCTTATCCATTAGGCAATGAGCCTAAAACCTCTTCCCTATTTGGCTTTCTGTGAGCATGAGATCACATAGAAAATGTGAAAGCCCGCTGAATCCTCCAGCACAGATCCTGGAATAGAGAAAGTGCTCTGGTCATCACAAAAAAAACTTGCCCACTCACCCAAATCCCCCACCTCACCCCTACTTCCAATCACCTGTGGAGATTCAGATAGACCATGGGGAGGTAAACATTAACACTCCTTGGAGTGAGTCCAGATCTTGGAATCAGAGATCAGCGACAGCACTAGCTCCTGCTCCCCTTTCCTACTAATTCACAGGAGGACAGGTGGTTTTGAAGCAATAGATGGCCGAGGGGGTGGTCCTTCCCCCAGCCTCTCGGGTAGAACAGCAGCCTAATATGTGTCTCCCGAGATCACAAAGAGCAGCAGGTTTCACACGGGCTTCAACACTATTTCCTGGCCGTTTGACATAAGAGAATTCTATTTCGCTTTTTTTATCTTGATTTCACTTTTGTTTTCTTTCCTTGGAGAATGCAAGTTGTTTGATTCAAGAATGCTGTGGATGTAGAAACCCTAAAGCACATTCGCTGTGAATCAATCCCAGTCCAGTCTTCCCAGAGAAGACTCTAAACACCTCCTGGACTGCACCTGGGCCTATGCCAATTCCTATCACTCACCGTCACTCCAGGGAGACAGAACACACAGAGAATACGTTACATAGGCAGGTTCATTACTAACAGATAAGCAGCGAGTGACAACAGAAACCTATATTTCAATGTGACCCAGTCCCTCAAGGCTCAGAAAAGCTCCTCGGGACATATGGAGTCACCCCATTTGCAGTGTAGCTGCGGGAAGCCAGAAAGCAGCCCAGCCTGGGTTTTGTACCCTGGAGCCACAGGAAGCACTCAGCTAAAGCACTGCATGACGTCCTCCTCCAGGAAGAACAGGAAGACAGCCCAGGCTGTTCTGAGACGTTCCTCCTGATCTCAGGAAGTTGCTGTCTTAGGCCATTTTTGTTGCTCTAAAGGAACACTTGAGCCTCGGTAACTTCTAAAGAAAAGAGATTGGTTTGTCTCACCGTTCTGCAGGCTGTACTGGAAGCATGGCACCAGCATCTATTTCTCGTGACGGCCTCAGGCTGCTCCCACTCTGGCAGAAGGGAAGGAGGGTCTGTCTGTGCAGAGACCACAGAGATCACACGGCAAGAGAGGGAGCAAGGGGGAGGGGGAGTGATGGAGCTTCCAAGCTCTTTTTAACAACCAGCTCTCCGGGAACTAATAGAGGGGGAACTTGCTAACCCCGTCTCCTTGGGACAGCATTGATGTGTTCATGATGGATCCACCTCCATGACCCAAACACCTCTCAAGAGGCCCAACCTCCCACAGTGGGGGTGAAATTTCAATGTGAGGTTTGAAGGGGTCAAACATCTCAACTAAAGTAGTCGTATCCTCAGCACGTTCTATGGTTACTATGAGAGCTATAACTGAAAAAGCAGGAGAAAGCTGGGTCTCCTGCTATCTGGGTGCTTGTCCTAAAGAGGTGTTTTATGTGGTTACCTGTCAATCAAGAAATGCGAGACAATTCATAAAGAGGAACTGCTAAGATTAGCTTCTTATTGGTGTCTCATCTTCTTCCAGGTAACCCCCGACACCTGCACATTCTGATTGGGACCTCAGTGGTCATCATCCTCTTCATCCTCCTCTTCTTTCTCCTTCATTGC
The DNA here is from genome assembly GCF_000001405.40 of Homo sapiens. Lineage (NCBI taxonomy): Eukaryota > Metazoa > Chordata > Mammalia > Primates > Hominidae > Homo > Homo sapiens. The sequence continues at coordinate 114,994 of NW_016107310.1, forward strand.
TGGTGCTCCAACAAAAAAAGTAAGTCTCACGAAGCAGAGGCCAGAGAGCTCAGGGCCATGTGGGGAAGCAGGATGGGAGCACTCAGGTGTGTGTTCCTCACAAACAGGATGGTCCCTGGCCCAAGGCAGCAGCCACAGAGGCAGGACTTTCTAGAGAGGGCACCAGACTCCCTGTCCCTGCCTTCAACTCACAGACCGTTGCCTGATTCTGAACTGTATCCTCATGTCCACTGCAGCCACTCACATCCAGGAGAAGGTTCCATGACAGGCAGAAAGTGGGAGACAGAATCAATGGGATGGGAACTCAGAGCTATTCATGGGATGGGTCCTTGAGCTCAGAGAGATAGAATGTCTGAGTCTGCTGTTGGCAACTGAGGGACCTCAGCCACCTATGGTCTCCCCCTGTATGTTGGTATCTGCTTATGAAATGAGGACCCAGAAGTGCCCTCCGAGCTGTTTTGTTGACTTCCGTCTTCTACAGATGCTGCGGTAATGGACCAAGAGTCTGCAGGAAACAGAACAGCGAATAGCGAGGTAGGTACTCCTCGGCCCGGGCTCGTGGCTACTGTTATTCCCAAAGAGTCCTGGAAAATGTGAGCACCCTCCCTCACTCAGCATTTCCCTCTCTCCAGGACTCTGATGAACAAGACCCTCAGGAGGTGACATACACACAGTTGAATCACTGCGTTTTCACACAGAGAAAAATCACTCGCCCTTCTCAGAGGCCCAAGACACCCCCAACAGATATCATCGTGTACACGGAACTTCCAAATGCTGAGTCCAGATCCAAAGTTGTCTCCTGCCCATGAGCACCACAGTCAGGCCTTGAGGGCGTCTTCTAGGGAGACAACAGCCCTGTCTCAAAACCGGGTTGCCAGCTCCCATGTACCAGCAGCTGGAATCTGAAGGCATGAGTCTGCATCTTAGGGCATCGCTCTTCCTCACACCACAAATCTGAATGTGCCTCTCACTTGCTTACAAATGTCTAAGGTCCCCACTGCCTGCTGGAGAAAAAACACACTCCTTTGCTTAGCCCACAGTTCTCCATTTCACTTGACCCCTGCCCACCTCTCCAACCTAACTGGCTTACTTCCTAGTCTACTTGAGGCTGCAATCACACTGAGGAACTCACAATTCCAAACATACAAGAGGCTCCCTCTTAACGCAGCACTTAGACACGTGTTGTTCCACCTTCCCTCATGCTGTTCCACCTCCCCTCAGACTAGCTTTCAGTCTTCTGTCAGCAGTAAAACTTATATATTTTTTAAAATAACTTCAATGTAGTTTTCCATCCTTCAAATAAACATGTCTGCCCCCATGGTTTCGGTAATGGGACTCTTTTCTTGCCTAAGGCTTCCGGTGTTATCAGTACCATGTCCATATAATCCCATCTGTTCCCCACTGAGTTCTCATCCCCGGACTCTGAGTTTCTGGAAGCAGGGTGGAGCCTCATTTGTCTCTGGGACTCCAATTTCCATCCAAAGATGTAGCACATAGGAGGTTCCAAGGATCACGAATCATATGAACAAGTGATACTCTTACTCTCTGCAGACCTGGAAAGCTGGCAGAGTCATTCCACAATGAAACATTTGTAGAATCATAGGCCTTGTTAGTCTCATCTCCATGGGGACACATATCAACACATCATCTTTCATAATATAAATATACGGTCACTCCTCCATATCTGCGGGGTTTACAGGTGTTTATTGAACCAAGTATAAATCAAAAATATTGAGAGAAAGTATCCACAGAGTTTCAAAAAGCATAACTATGTTGAATGGACACAAATGAAGCTGTGTGTAGGCTGTATCAGGAATTATAAGTAATCTAGAGATGATTTCATGTATACAGGAGGATGTGCATAGGTTATTTGCAAACGCTGTGCCATTTCATATAAGAGGCTTGAGCATCTACAGATTTTGGTATCTGAGTGGAGATCTCAAAACCAATCACCCACGAATAGTGAAGGATGACCGTATATGACTTTTATTTCTCAAATTTAAATATAAATCATAAAAAATGTACAACTAGATAAAAACTAAGAAGTGTTTTTATAGTGTGAGTTAGATTTATTTTTTCCTAGGTGTAACCAATTGGTTTAATATTATTTATTGAGAAGACATTCTATGCCACCTTAAACCACACGGCAGCCTTTGTCAACTCTAAAGGGACTGTGTGTACATGGATGTATTTTAGACACTGTTTCTGCTAAGGGGCTCTCTGTGTCCACACTCTTGATGATGCTGCACTTTATGTAGCCTTATAGAACCCTTTAAATTTAGTAGCCAGAGCCCTCTAATTTGTTATTATAGGCTGTTTGCTTTTTTTTTCTTGAGGCGGAGTCTTGCTCTGTCGCCCAGGCTGGACTGCAGTGACACAATCTCAGCTCACTGCAACCTCCGCCTCCCAGGTTCAAGCGATTCTCGTGCCTCAGCCTCTTGAGTAGCTGGCGTTACAGGTGCCTGCCACCAGGCACGGCTAATTTTTGGATTTTTAACAGAGACACGGTTTCACTATATTGGCCAGGCTGCTCTCAAACTCCTTATCTCAGTTGATCTGCCCACCTCGGCTTCCCAACGTGCTGGGGAAAACTTGATTTTCTATAGCATTATGTTACTGGATATTTCTGTAAAATTTAAAACGAGGGAGGGAGAGAGACAGACAGAGAGCAAACTCCAGAGTTGGGACTCTGGAATCTTGGGTCATGAGACAAATTTTAGATTAAACTACAAAACTCCAGAATTTACAGGTGTGGTTTTTGCTGATAAAGTACAATTCGAAGATTGTAAATAATTGCATAATCCTTCCCTGGGAATTTAAATCATTTTAGCTGGTTCTGCTGTAATACTAGAAATACAAGCATGAAAAATTCTAATGGTTTATTAGTCACAATGACTCCGAAAACATTAATAATACCTATTAGATACTTTGCATATTACACAGGAAGAAGAGTTTGAATCTCAGATAAAAACAAAAAAAATACATGAAAAGTCTTTCATGTTAGCACAGATTTTAGGCATCTCGTGTTCGGATAAAAATACATGAAAAGTCTTTCACGTTAGCACAGATTTTAGGCATCTTGTGTTCGGGAGGTTGGATCTGAGACGTGTTGTGAGTTGGTCATAGTGAAGGACGTGAGGTGCCAATTCTAGTGAGAACAATTTCCAGGAAGCCGTGTTCCGCTCTTGAGCAAGCATCCACTGGGCCTCATGCAAGGTAGAAAGAGCCTGCGTACGTCACCCTCCCATGATGTAGTCAACATGTAAGCTGCATGGGCAGGGCGCCAAATAACATCCTGTGCGCTGCTGAGCTGAGCTGGGGCGCGGCCGCCTGTCTGCACCGGCAGCACCATGTCGCTCATGGTCGTCAGCATGGCGTGTGTTGGTGAGTCCTGGAAAGGAATAGAGGGAGGGAGTGCCACATCCTCCTCTCTAAGGTGGCGCCTCCTTCTCCCCCAGGTGGTCAGGACAAGCCCTTCCTCTCTGCCTGGCCCAGCCCCGTGGTGTCTGAAGGAGAACATGTGGCTCTTCAGTGTCGCTCTCGTCTTGGGTTTAACGAATTCAGTCTGTCCAAAGAAGACGGGATGCCTGTCCCTGAGCTCTACAACAGAGTATTCCGAAACACCGTTTTCATAGGCCCTGTGACCCCAGCACATGCAGGGACCTACAGATGTCGGGGTTCACACCCACACTTCCTCACTGGGTGGTCAGCACCCAGCAACCCCCTGGTGATCATGGTCACAGGTCAGAGGGCTCCTGTCTGGGATTCTCCTTGTCCCACCTCCTGAGTCCCAGAGCTTCTGGTGGGAGTGTCCACCAGCGTCCCATCATCCAGACCCTAACTGTATTTGGGATAAAAGGGGATTGAATACAGGGAAATGGGTGCTGTGGTGGAAAGAATAATTGTCCCCAATGATGACTGCATTCTAATCCCTGCAGTCTGTGACTATTTATGTTATAGGGGAAGGCACTGAAGGGGAAGATGGAGCTCAGGTTGTTGAGTTGACCTTGAGATGGGGAGACAGCCTGGACTGTCCTGCTGGGCTCAGTGTAATCACAAGGGTGCACATGAGAGGAGAAGGAAGAGGGGAGTGGCGATTAGAGCAGTGCAATGGAAGTCTCCATCAGCTTTGAAGGTGGAGGAAGGCCATGAGCCATGAATGCAGGTGGCCTATAGAGGCTGGAAAAGTCAAGGAACTGATTCTCCTGGGTCTCCAGAGGGAACGCAGCCCTGCAGATGCCTTGATTTTAGCCCTCAAAAAACAGGGTCCGATTTCTGTCTCCAGAAACGGAAGGGGTCAGTGTGCTCTCTCCTGCTGCCATGCTTCTGATAATTTTCTACAGCACCAACAGGAAACCAACACTGGAACCCAGGTCAAGGACAAGATAAGAAAGGACACAAGGATAGCCGGGCGTGGTGGCAGGTGCATGTAATCCTAGCAACTCAGGAGGTTGAGGGCAGGAGAATCACTTGAACCCAGGAGACAGAGGTTGCAGTGAGCCTAGACCACACCACTTCACTCCAGCCTGGGTGAAGGAGTGAGACTCTGACTCCAAAATTAATTAATTAATTAAAGAAACCAAACAAAGAGAAGGTTGGCTACACCGAGATCAGCAAGGGTGGGATGATGATGCCACCACCAGGCTCCATCCACATAGGGAGGGGTTGATACTCCTCAAACCAGCACCAGAAGCCAGCCTATGGAAGCTGGCACCATGGAGAAGGCACAGGCATGGCAAGAGTGGCTCCCAGTCCCCACCAGGAACAGGGTGTGTGGACACTGGTGCCTGCCTTACTGATCAGTTCATACCTTCTGCCAAGGATTCCAATTCGTCCAAAAGAGATTGAACCAGTCTGCTAAGAGCCTGGACGTGCAGCCTATCCTGGTTCCTCTTCCACCCCCACATAGAAGCAGGAAAGACATTAGTTCGAAATAGATACAACAGCCCAAGAGATGAGGCTGAGCCCAGCGTCAAGGGAATCAGGAGCTACTAGAGACAGAGGGACAGAGAAGAGGGAGGGAGACAGATGGAAGGACCTGTACCAGGAGTTATGGGCACAGAAAAGAACATGAAGACACAGAGAGGAAGGAGAGAGATAAGACACCAGCGAGGGGAAGCCTCACTCATTCTAGGTGCCATGGATGGGATGATAAAGAGAGATGCCTTCTAAAGTCACAACTTCTCTTCCTAGGAGTCCACAGAAAACCTTCCCTCCTGGCCCACCCAGGTCCCCTGGTGAAATCAGAAGAGACAGTCATCCTGCAATGTTGGTCAGATGTCATGTTTGAGCACTTCCTTCTGCACAGAGAGGGGAAGTTTAATGACACTTTGCGCCTCACTGGAGAGCTCCATGATGGGGTCTCCAAGGCCAACTTCTCCATCGGTCGCATGACGCAAGACCTTGCAGGGACCTACAGATGCTACGGTTCTGTTCCTCATTCCCCCTATCAGTTGTCAGCTCCCAGTGACCCTCTGGACATCGTGATTACAGGTGAGAGTGTCTGGACATTATTCTCATTGTCACTGGGACACAGAGTGAATGATCCACGACTTGGAGGCCCAGGTGGTTATAAGGAAGATGAGCTTGGTATTCTTATGGAGAGAGACTAACTTGGTGAGGTCTGTACCAACAGAGACAGAGAAACAGGAGACACAAGTACAGACCAGGTGTCATAACAGAGGACAGACACAGGGGCCATACAGGGAGTTAGAAAAGACAGAAAGAGTTAAAGGAGACACAGACAGACATGTGCCAGAGAGAGGTGTCCTTCCATGCTGACTTTGCTCAGAGACCTGGCACAGGTTAGAAGTTTCATTTCTGTTTTACTTCCACAAAGTGTTCTCTACCAGAAGAACCCAAGGACACCCATATTTCTGGCCTGAGTTGGGCCCTGTGGCCTCAGGCCTTCTGGCACCTACAGATGCCGTGTTTATTCTGACACCTCTGCCTTCCATGCAATGGAGAGTAATCGTCCCAGGATATCATGGCCCCAGAACATCAACCCCTGTATACTGTGTGAACTTGCGGTCCCCAGACTGGATTCTGAGGCTCACATTCCAAATAACCCCACATATGAGAGGATCACTGAGAGACACAGAGAGAAATCAGGGACACCAAAAAGCAAAGACATAAACACACAGAGAATGAGCCAGAGGAAGGAGATTGAGAGACTCACAGACACATAAAGAGGGAGAAAAGAGGGCAGAGAAGTGGAGAGAACAATGGAAGGGAACAGAGAAAAGCACTAAAATTAGAGTCCTGAGGGAGAGACACAAGGACATAGAAAGATGGAGATGTGGGGATGAATTGCAGAGATTCCAAAGAGAACTAGAGAGACCGAGAGGCAGAGCAAGACAGATGATAGATGGATAGATATAGATAGATGATAAATAGGTAGATGATAGATAATAGGTTATAGATACATAGATGATGATTGATTCATTCATTGATTAATCGATGATACATAGAGATGATGAAGATGAAGATAGATAATACATAGAGATAGAGAGGCAGACAAAGAGAAATCATAGAGAGAGAGAGACGATACATAGATATAGATAATAGATGATTTTTGGATAGACAATTGATAGATAAATAGATTATATATAGATATAGATGACAGGTAGAGAATTTGTAGATAGGCACCAAATAGATAAATAGATATATCAATAGATAATAGATAGAAATATGCAGAAAGTTATGAACAGGACACAAAGTGAGAAACTCAGAATTTAAAAAAAGTAACATCAAGTCAACTAGTCCAAGGAGAGTCAGAGAGAATAAAACAATCCAAAAAGGGAAAACATATCTAGAGGTGAGAAAGTGAGGTCAGAGACCTAGAGAGACAGAGAAGGTGGAAAGAGGAAATAGACATAAAGAGAGATGGTGTGGAGGGTGAGACAGAGAGAGAGAGCATTAGGCCATAGAGCAGGGGAGTGAGTTCTCAGCTCAGGTGGGAGGGGAGTTGTGACAAGGAAGAACCTCCCTGAGGAAACTGCCTCTTCTCCTTCCAGGTCTATGTGGGAAACCTTCTCTCTCAGCCCAGCCGCGCCCCATGGTTAAGGCAGGAGAGAGCGTGACCTTGTCCTGCAGCTCCCGGAGCTCCTATGACATCTACCATCTATCAAGGGAGGGGGAGGCTCATGAACTTAGGTTCCCTGCAGTGCCCAAGGTCAATGGAACCTTCCAGGCCAACTTTCCTCTGGGCCCTGCCACCCACGGAGGGACCTACAGATGCTTCGGCTCTTTCCGTGACTCTCCCTACGAGTGGTCAGACCTTAGTGACCCACTGCTTGTTTCTGTCACAGGTGAGGAAACCAGTCTGTTCCCCAAATAGTGGGACTCAGATGGACTACAATGGCCACATTCAGGGGAGCCTCAGATGGAGGGGGTGGCCATGGGGGTGTCAGCCAGAGATGCTGGACAGAAGAGACACAAAGCAAACATACAGAAAGAGGCATAGACAGACAGACAGAGCGAGGCAGACAGATCACATTAGGGTTTGGGGTGGTAACTGCAACCCTACCTGAAGCTTGCAGATAGAGCACAGGCCACATAAACCACTTCCCAGTCTTTGTACAGAAGCCCACCTGGGACACATGTAAACAGCATCAATGCTGACTCAGGAGCATGAAAGGCCGGGCTCAGATTGGAAAGACTAGAGGTAGCATTGGCCGCCCGCCATTGCCCATTTCCAGAAGCCCCCACCTCTCACCAAAGAGTGATTTCCACATGGGGGGCACAGATGCAACCATCGTTGGGGGAGCCCCAATGTCTCTTGATGGGAGGCATTTTCCACCCTAGATGTTTTTTGCTCTCTCCACACCTTGGAGACTCAGTGGGGGAGTCTTCTCTGGGGACTCGGGGAGGGCCTCCCTGGGACTCGCAGGATTTCCAAGCTAGATGACAACATGACAGGTGGAAACAGGCCCATTCCTTCGCCAGGGGCCCCAAGCTCCATCCCAGGAGATGAGAAGAGGCTCTTCTCATTGGTCAGTGGATCCCTGAGGGGACAGAGGCTCAGCACTGAAGGCTGAGAAGGATCTGCCACTTCGCTCAGTGGCCTCAAGCCAGACATCTTCCCTACAGACTTGCAGTGATTCTCCATCAGCATTTAGGGCTGTGGCCACCAACCTGGGTGTTGGTCTGTAGGAACTTTTCATTTCTGACCTTCCATAACTGAGTTCTCTTCCTAAATGTGGAATGCCTTGTACTCCATGTTACTCTCTCCCCAGAAAGAATGTGTGGCTTGTCTGCTCTCCAGCCCTGTCATGGAGATTGATAATCCTTAGGGAGCAAGAGGAGAGGGAAAGAACAAAGTATGAGACCACCTAGGTGCTACTGGTTGAGGTTCCATTTGCCAGTGAAGGGACTTCACTCAGCCGAGGGGGCAACTCAGGGAAGTCAGCCGAGGGAGGGCATTAGAGTAGAGAGAACTGAGCTCACCCAGTAAATGACCCCTTCACTAACTCATTCATCTAATATTTATTTCACACCTACCATCAGTTCTCTCTGTTTCATGGCCAGGAGTAGACAGCACGGCCAAGCTCCTGGGTTCATGATGCTCACATTGCTGTGGGGTGGGAGAGAGAGGCAGAACATGAATGAATGAATGAGAGAATGAATGAATGAGTGAATGATGGAATGAGTGAATGAATGAATGAATGAATGTATGAATTAGTGAGTGAATCCTTAGCACTTGGTGAAAGTGCCATGCACAGAATGAAATGAATGAACGTGGAACGTTGTCATTTGGAGTGTACAGGAGGGAACGTCTCACTGAGACCTCATCAGAGAGATCACATTTAAACTCCGATCTTAGAGACAAGAGGGAGTGAGCCCTGGGGAGTGTGTTGAAAGGAACTTTCATGGACTTAGGACATTGGGGATGACCCTAATGTGAGAATGAGCTTGGTGTGTTCCAAGAAGTCCATGGACCTGCCATATGGTGAGGGCTGGTCAGAATCCAGAGAGATTTCTAAATGCCCTTGTGCTTGTAAGGAAAGTGAGTCCTGTGGTTGGGAGTGGACTTATACCTTGGGTCAGGTCCAGCAATTATCTTTCTAAATCCTCTCTAATTGCCTGAACCACTTCTATCAACAACTGAGAAAAGAGGAGTGTTAAACACCCCACTGTGGCCGTGGATTTGCCTACCTGTCCATTTATTTCCGCGACTCTTCCTCCATGTATATTTGCAGGAATATTACTGGGAGTGGTTAAGTGTAAACTGATTATATATTCCTGGTAAATTTAAAATGCTATAAATTTACCTGCTTTTTTCCTACATTTTATGCTTAATGTTTTCCGCTGATTTTTCCCAAAGACTAATTTTGTCTAATTTTAATATAGTTATACCACATTTCTAACAGTGATTGCTTGGTATATTTCTACATTGTTTAATTTCAAACTCCATGAATTGTTAACATTGAGATGTGTCCTTTGTAAATTTCAAACAATTCGCCTTAGAAAGTAAGACTTTCTGACAATCTTTTGTTCATGTTTGAGCAGTTCTTCCAATCATATTTTTGTTATTATTACGTTGTGTTTTCCTGATTCCCTTTTTTTCCCACTGACTTCTGTGGTTTTCTATTTCAAACATTCTATTTTTGATCTATGTCGTTTAGGAATACATATATGGTGTACTCATCCTGAAGTTGTTACATATTTTTAAAATTGAAATTAATCATTTCAGAGATTAAACTGCAAATATAAAAACATATTTCCACTCTTCCTGTGTAAGAACAGGATTTTAGAGCATATTTAGTACATATGTTTGTATTTACTTATATGATGTTTTGTTTTGTGGTATACATAATTCTATCTTTTTCAGAAATTACACAGGGGCATGTTTTCATACACTATCGTATGGTCCATATTCATTTTTGGCATAGCCATATTTTTAGTTCTTCCTCTGCTCTTAGTTATTGTCAGAATCTTCGACACCCCATCTGGTTTCACTTTCTTTATCTTTGAGGCACGGTCATCAGAATTTCCTTTAGGGTCAGTGAGAAAAGCTTTCTTTGCCCTTTTGTCTTTCAGTTCTGTTTCTTTCCTGCGTTGATCTTGGACAGTAACTGTACTATGTAAGGAATTGTCGGTGGCTGGCGACGGTATCTTAGCTGGGTAAAGATGCTATTCTACTGGCTTATGTTTTCCTTTTTTCTGTGGGGAAGACAATGCTTGGCTCCCTATAAATCCTTACCAGCTGATCCTTTTCCTCTGGCTAATTTTAAGGGTTGGTTGTGCTTTTATGCTGCTTTTCTGTAATGTTGAACGTGAGGTGTGTTTACTTCATTCTGCCTGGCATTCACTGGATTTCTTGAACCTGTGGATTGATGGATGTGTCTACTTCCTCCAAATAATCAACAATTGCCTCTTTAAAGATTGCTTCTGACCTGTTTTCTCGTTCTTTCTTTTTGGAACTCAAGTTAGGAGCATTCTAAAACTGTTGTCAATTTTTACCCTGTCACAAAACTGCTCTTTCTTGTTTCAGTTATTTGCTTTTTCTGTGCATTAATATTGATGGTTTCCTCTGTCATAGAGGATAAATACTCTCTTCACTGTTGTGTACACAACATTTTAACTAGTTATTCTGGTTTAAATTTAATATTGACTTTATCTACATATCACAATTGATTACTGTGTACAGACTTTCTTTTCTATTAGTATAAATTTATGAGGTACACTTGTAATTTTGTGACATGAGTATGTTGCAGAGTAGTGAAGTCAGGACTTTTACTATATCCATCACCCAAATACCGTACATTGTACTCATTAAGCAAATTCTCATCACTCACCCACGTCCCGCCACCCTCCAGCCTTCTAGCCTCCGCTGTCCGTCATTCCACACTCTACGTCCATATGTACACATTACTCCCCTCCCATGTAGAGTGAGAAGATGTGGTATTTGTCTTTCTGAGTGGTTTTATGTAAAATAATGGCGTCCAGCTCCATCTATGTTGCTGCAAAAGACATGGTTTTATTTTTATGACCAAATAGTATTTCGTTGTGTATACACGCATCCTTTTTTTAATCCAATCATTCATTCACAGACACTTAGATTGATTTCATATCTTTGCTATTGCAAACAGTGCTGCAATAAACATACAGGTGCAGATATTTTTTGAGTAGATACCCAGCAGCGGGACCCCTAGATCGAATGGTGCTTCTATTTTTGGTTCTCTGCCAAATTTCCATACTGTCTTCCATAGAGGCTATACTAATTTACATACCGGCCAACAGTGTATAAGAGTTTCCTTTTCTCTGCATCCTTGCCAACACCTGTTATATGTTTCACTTTTTCTTTTTTTCTTTTTGAGATGGAGTCTTCCACTGTCACCCAGGCTGGAGTGCAGTGCCGCCATCTCCACGCGCTGCAACCTCCACCAACCAGGTTCAAATGATTCTCCTGCCTCAACCTCCTGAGTAGCTGGGATTACAGAACCACACCACCATGCCCAGCTAATCTTTTGTATATTTAGTAGAGATGGGGTTTCACTATGTTGGTCAGGCTGGTCTCAAACTCCTGACCTCATGATCCACCCGCCTCAGCTTCCCAAAGTGCTGGGATTACAAGCGTGAGCCACCACTCCCCACCAGCATTTTTAGTAATAGCCATTCTGACTACTGTAAGATGATATCTCATTGTGGTTTCAATTTGCATTTCTCTGATGATTAGTGATGTTCATACGCTGTTTGGCCATTCGTATGTCTTCTTTTGAAAAATGTCTATGTATATCCCTTTGCCCACTTTTTAATGCTATTATTTGAGGGGTTATGTTTAGTTGTTTGAGTTGCCTAGAAATTCTGGATGTTAGTCCCCTGTTGGGTGCATAGTTTGCAAACATTTCCATTCATTCTGTGGGTTGTCTGTTCACCCTGCTACTATTTCCTTTGCTTGGCAGAAGCTCTTTCGTTTATTAAGTCCCATTGGTCTAGTTTTATTTTTATTGCCTGTGCTTTTGAGGTCTTAGTGATGAATTCTTTGCCCAGACCAATGCCCAGAAGAGTTTCTCTTTGGGTTTCCACCGGTGATTTTATAGTTCTGGATTTACATTTAAGCTGCTAATTACCTTAAGTTAATTTATGTGTATGATTACAGATACAGGTCCAGTTTTATTCTTCTGCATATGGCTATTTAGTTTTCCCAGCACCTTTTATTGAAAAGGAAATCTTTCTCCAGGGTATGTTTTGTTAACGTCGTCAATGATTATTCACTGTAGATATGAGGCTGTATTTCTGGGCTCTCTATTCTGGTCTATTGATCTCTGTTTCTGTGTCTATACCAGCACTGTGCTATTTAAGTTACTATAGCCTTAGAGCATAGTTTGAAGTCAGATAGCGTGATGCCTCCAGGTTTCTACATTCACCTAGAATTGCTTTCTCTATTAGGATCTTTTTTGGTTCTGTATGAATTTTAGGATTGCTTTTTCTAATTCTGTGAAAACTGGTGTTACTATTTTCATATAAGAATTGCACTGAATCTGTAGATTGCTTTAGGCAGTATGGTCATTTTAACAATATTAATTCTTATGATCCATGAGCGTGGGATTTTTTTTCTTTTTTTTTTTTGTATTATCTATAATTGCTTTCATTGGTGTCTTACACCTTTCCTGGTACAGATCTTTCACCACCTTGGTTAAATGTATTCCTGAGTGTTTTAATTTTGCGTATCTATTGTAAACGGCATTGCCTTCTTGATTTGGTTCTCAGCTAGATCATTATAGGTGTAGAGAAATGCTACCGGCTTTTACATATTGATTTTGTATTCTGAAACTTTACTTAGTTCATTTATCAATCATAAGAATTTTTGGCAGGGTCTTTAGGATTTTCTAGATTTAAGATCATAGCATCAGAAATAAAAATAATTTTACTTCCTCTTTTCTAATTTGGATTTTTACTTCTTCCTGTTGCCCAATAGCTCTGACAAGGCTTCCAGTACTATGTTGATAGGAAGTGGTGGATGTCCGTGTCCTTGTCTTGTGCCAGTTCTCAGAGGAGTGCTTTTAACTTTTCCTGTTCAGTATGATGTTGACTCTAGATATGTCATCTATGGCTTTTATTATTTTGAGGTATGTTCTTTCTATGCCTAAGTTTTTGAGGGTTTTCATCAGGTAAGGATGTTGAATTTCTTTTCAGATGCTTTTCTTTATGTCTATTGAGATGATCATATGGTTTTTGTTCTGGATTCTGCTCGTTCTTCTAAGTGGATGAGACATGCCAGAAAAGCATTTAGTCAGCCATCTTGGAAACAAGCATCTCAGATGTTTTCTTTCTCTATAGCTCATTCTTTCTTACCAGTGTTTTCAATTTTGTACTTAATTTTGTAAAGAGAGTAAATGATATAATTTCCACATATGTTTCCTCTGCCAAATCAGACTCACTATGCTTCCTTTCCTTGTATGCATAACCTACCCAGCAATACACACAAACATTTATTGCTTTGGAGAATTAGTTTGGGAACATTTTTGAAATGTACAAAAAAATGTATATCTTCAAAAGAAATTTCTTTTTGTGGCAAAAGACTTCTGAAGGTGCTCATGATGATATAGGGAGAAGAGGGGTTCTGGACAGGAAGAATTTTATGAAGGTGAGATGGGGAAATAGCTCCATTTCAGAGCTTCTGGGGAGAGAGGGGCCTGGCCCACATGGAAAGGTCTCTGATCTTACCCCCACCCTCCAGCCCCTGTTCTCCAGAACTATACTGTGGAGAGTTCCATCAGGATTGTTGTGGCTGGTCTGGTCTTCCTGGCTCTTTTGGCAATGCTGGCTAAGACCTGGTGGAGACATGAGGGGCCACAGGTGGAAATGGAAGAAACATGACTGAAGCTGGCTGGAGTGAATGGCGCGACATTCTGTCTGTGGGAGATTGGCCAGATGGGTTTCAAGTGTGTTGTATCAGCTGTGACTTTTAGTAATGTTCTTGCTACCACAATATCCACTCGTCCATCCCGAATAATTGTGATGAAATATTGTCCTTGGGATAATATTCATTTGCTAAAGACAGGGATGATACCTCAAGGTGCCACTATATACATCGAGGGGATCCACAAAAGTCCATTCAGTAAAATGTAGTTGGCATCTTAGGGTAGGTTGATTCCACCTCTAAAAAAGTAGGTACAACATCAGGTTGATTTTTCCGAAGAAAAGTGGTGATTGGCCATCTTTAGTCTCAATGTAAACGGTAATACTGATGAGTGTGGAAAAGGCAGGGAAGAGGATTGACAATAAGTGACACTCATTGTTTTCATCTGAGCTTTGAGACTGAAAGAGGAACACAGGAGTGAGATGTATGGGAACAAACCCCTTCTTTTTCCAGCTAAACAGAGTGGAAGTTGGACACTGAGTTTTGGCGTACAGCAAAATCCTAAGTCCATTGTTGGGTTGAACACGGCCATGTTGTACATCCTGGTTTCACAGCAGACACTGGAGGAAAACAGCCTGTATTCATAAGAGGCTGTCCCTCGGGTCACTGCCCAGAATATCCGGAGTTGGTGCTCACAGGGTTGGGAACTCTCCTGGACCAGACAGGCTCTGGATATGGGGGGGTACCAAGCTCCCCGGGGCCATGCCTCCACAGCTCTCTTCTCACCTCATTCTTGACCATTTCCCAAACCTCTGACCTCACCTTCATTCATCCATGGTGAACACGCTAAAGCTGGCCTTCAAAGCTTGAGACAGAGGAAAATTGGGCTTCATCTCTGGGAACTAAATTGGGGAGTGGAGACTCAGTTCTGGCCTGACAGGAGGGAGAAGACCCTGGATCCCAGTGTGGATGGGAAGAAGTATGTGTTTCTCTTTTGTGCTTGGACCCTGTGTCCAAGCATGTCTGAGATGTGATGAAGATGAATCTTCCTTTCCTTGTCTATTTTCTCATGCCAGAGAATTGGAATCTTATATTCCATTAACTCTTTCTGTTCTGTTCATCCAGATTCTATGAAGGAGAAAGGAAAAGATGTGATACTGTAATTTTGCTCCATTTGTCTAAAATGAGTAGGCTGCAACTCCTCTTGAAGTGATACCTTTTCTAGCTCTTGTTGGAGGTGTCTCAGGACTCATTACTTCGGGGAACCTGCAACTGTGTCAGTCTGGGGAAACTGCAAATATTCTTGTCTTACATTTGTCTCCAGCCAATTGTGATGGACTCCAGTGACCTGCAATTGCTGTTATTGCAGGTAAAATGTACCTGAGTCAGGCCACAGTTCTCCTGGACTATGAGCCCCTGGCCATGTTCCTGAGGCAATTCTGTTCATCTAAATATAATAATAATAACACACTAAAAATGGCAAGCCATTGTTAATTCCTGAAGTCTCATTTGAAAATTACTAAATGTCTGTTATTTTTTGGTGTTTACATTATATGTAGACAGATAAACTACACACACACACACACACACACATGCACACAGAAGAATGGATTGGTTCATGTAGAAAAGTAAATAATTCAAGATGAAAGGATGAAATGTCATGGCACCTACTATTCTATTTTAGATAAAGGGTCTATGAAAAGATTGATTTCTTTTTATGTTTTATTTGTTGACATTTGAACACAAACTATGTAAGTGAGGGAGTCGATTTGAAAGGGAGAAGAGCAAGTTCAAACACATTCAGGTGAGGTCATGCTTTACATGTTTTAATTGAAATGATCCATCTTGGGAGTAGATCAATAACTGAGATGGTGCCAGGAATGTTAAAAAGCTTTTGTCAGTCCTAAATATTGACAAATAAAATTTAATTAAAGTCTTAGAAGAAAACACAAAGGAAAACTTCACAACATCGGATTTGGCAGTGATTCTTTAGATGTGACAACAACGGCACAGGCTACTACAGAAAAAATAAACAAGTTAGACTTTATGAAAATTTTGAAATATTGTGACTCAAAAGACAACATCAGTTACTTCACATGGCAAGGAAAAAGAACTTTTAAGACGATATTATCAAAGTAAAAAGACAACCCACAGAATGGGAGAAAATGTTTTCAAACCACACCACCTGTAAGGGATTAACATCCAGAATATACAGACAACTCCTAAAACTCAATCACAATAAACTCAATTCAAAAATGGGCAAAGTACTGAAACAGACATTTCTCCAAAGAACATACGCATGAAAAGATATTCAGCATCACGAATCATTAGGGAAATACTAACTAAAACTACACCAGATGCCATTTCATACCCCTTAGGATGGGTATCATCAAAACAACAACAACAACAACAACAAAGTTTCTATACATTAACAACAAACTATCCAAAAAAGTTTACAAGAAAATAAGCCCATTTGCAATAACTACAGAAAACAAAACATGCAGGAATAAATTCACCCAAGGAGTAGAAAGATCTGTATGCAAAAGCTATAAAACATTGATGAAAAAACTCAAGAAATAAACAAATAAATCGAAAGATATTCCATGTTCACGGATCAGAAGGATTAATGTTGTTAAAATGTCCATTCTATCCAAAGTGATTCAATGCAACCATTATCAAAAATCCAATGACATTTTTTTTACAGAAATAGAAAAAACAGTCCTAAAATTCATGTGGAACCACAAAAGATCTCAAATAACCAAAGCCATCTAGAGGGAAAGGAACAAAGTTGGAAGCATCACATTACCTAAACACAAACTACATTACAAAATTACAGTAATTAAAACAACACAGTACTTGCATAAAAACAGACACATAGACCAATGGAAGTGATTCATAGCCCAGGAAAAAAATGCATGCATTTAGGGTCAAACAATTTTTGGGATGTGTCAAGAACACACAATGGAGAAGGAACAGTCTCTTTAATAAATGGGATTGGGAGACTGCATGTCCACATGCAGAAGAATGGAAGTGGACATTTGCCTCACAAAACATACAAAGTCAACTCAAGATAGATTAATGACTTAAATGTAAGATGAAAGACTATAATCCCAGCAATTTGGGAGGCCAAGGTGGGCAGATCACCTAAGGTCAGGATTCCAAGACCAGCATGGCCAACATGGTGAAATCCCGCCTCTACTAAAAATACAAAAACAGCTGGGTGTGGTTGTGGGTGCCTGTAATCTCAGCTACTCGGGAGGTTGAGACAGGAGAATCACTTGAACCCAGGAGGTAGAGGTTGCAGTGAGCCGAGATCGCACCACTGCACTCCAGCCGGGGCAACACAGTGAGACTCCATCTTAAAAAAAAAAAAAAAACTACTAAAAGAAATCAAGGGAAAACTCCACTGGCTTGGGCAAAACCATTTTGGATATTAACCCAAAGGCCCAGGCAACAAAAGCAAAAGTAGACAAATAACATTATATCAAATTGAAAGTTTCTGCAAAGAAAAAAAAAACTCAACAAGTGGAAAGACAACCTATGGAATGGGAGAATATATTTGCACCCATACATCTAATAAGGAATTAATATCCAAAATATATAAGAAACTCAAACAACTCAATGGTAAGAAATCAAATAACCCAACTTAAAAAAATGGGCAAAGTATCTGAATAAACATTTCTAAGAATAAGACAAATCACCAAAAGGTATATGAAAAAATGATTAGCATTACTAAACATCAGCTAAATAAAAATTAAAACTAGAATGAGATATCACCTCACACCTCTTAGAATGACCATTAACAGTCTGGGCATGGTGGCTCATGCCTGTAATTCAGGCACTTTGGGAGGCCGAGGCAGGGAGATTACCTGAGGTCAGCAGTTCGAAACCAGCCTGGCCAATATGGTGAAACCCCATCCCTACTAAAAATACAAAAATTAGCAGAGTTTGGTGGCGCACACTTGTAGTCCCAGCTACTCTGGAGACTGAGGCAGGGGAATCGCTTGAACCCAGGAGGCAGAGGTTGCAGTACACCGAGATTGTGCCACTGCACTCCAGCCTGGGTGACAGAGCAAGACTGAGTCTCAAAAAAAAAAAAAAAAAAAGACCATTATCAAAAACATAAAAAATAACAAGGGTTAACGAGGATGTGGAGAAAAGGGAACATTTGTATGCAGTTGATGGGAATGTAAATTAGCACAACCATTATGGAAAACAGTCTGGAAGTTCCTGAAAAAATTAAACATAGAATTCCCATATGTGTCTGCAATCCAACTACTGCGCATGTATCCAAAGGAAGTGGAATCAGTATGTTGAAGAGATATCTGCATTCCCATGTTTACAGCCGCATTATTCATAACAGCCAAGATGTGGAATCACCCTTACTGCCCATCTATGGGTGCATGGACAAAGAAAACGTGGTATACGATAGGAACGTAATGAAGTACTATACAACCTTTACAACAAAGAAGGAAGTCCTCTCATTTGTGACAATGTGAAAAAACTTAGAGGACATTATGTTAAGGGAAACAATCCAGGCACAGAAAGACAAATGCCACATGATCTCATGTGTGGAGTGTAAGAAGTGGAACCTAGAGGAACAGTAAAATGGTCGTCGAAAGAACCTGGGATGGAGAGAGATTGAAGAGATGTTGGTCAAAGGATGCAAAATTTCAGTTAGAAGAAATCGGTTCAAGAGATCTATTGTATGTCTTGGTGACTCCAGTTAATAGCAACATATGGTGTATTGAACATTACTAAGAGATTAGATTTTACATGTTCTCACCACACACACAAAACATACAAGTATGTGAAAAAATAAATATGATAAAGAGGTTGTTTCATCCATTCCACAATGTGTACCTATATGAAAACATCATGATGGACACCACAAATACCCTTTTCCTCATTAATTAAATTTGTTTTGGTTTTTTTTTTGAGATGCAGTTTCACTGTTGTTGCCCAAGCTGAGGTGCAATGGCGTGATCTCCGCTCACTGCAACCTCTGCCTCCCAGGTTCAAGCGGTTCTCCTGACTCAGCCTCCCAAGCAGCTGGGACTACAGTTGCGTACCACCCCGTCCGGCTATATTTGTGTTTCTAGTAGAGACAGGGTTTCGCCATGTTGGCCAGGCTGGTCTCGAACTCCAGACCTCAGGTGATCCACCCGCTTCGCCCTCCCAAAGTGCTAGATTTCAGGCTGAGACACCACACCCAGCCTGTACATTGACTTTCTGCCCTTAAACTGTGCTGAAGTTTGTTTCTCAGATGTAGGAGCCTTTGGGCAGAGACTATGGGGTTTCTAGGTATAGAAATTATCTCATCTTCAAACAGAGGTAATTTGACTACCTCTCTCTGCTACTCTCTTCTTACTTGGATGCCTTATAATTCTTTCTCTTTCCTGATGGCTCTGTCTAGGACTTCAAGTACTATGTTGAATAGGATGGTGAGAGTGGGCATTCTTGTCTTGTTTCACTTATGAAGGGAACTTCTTCCAGCTTTTACTCATTCAGTATGATGTTGGTTGTGGGTTTGTCACAGGCGGCTCTTATTATATTGAGTTATGTTTCTTCAATGCTTAGCTTGTTGAGGGCTTTTAACATGAAGAAATGCTTAGTAAAAAGTATGTTCTACATGTGTGTTGAGAAGATCATGTGGTTTTTGTTTTTAGTTTTGTTTAGGTGATGAATCACATGTATTGATTGTGTATGTTCAACCAACCTTGCACCCTAAGAATAAAGTTGACTTGATCATGGTGGATTCACTTTTTGATATGCTGCGGGATTCAGTTCTTAGTATTTTTTGTGGATTTTTGCCTCTATGTTCATCAGGAATATTGGCATGTAGTTTTCTTTTGTTTAATGTTCTTTTCTGTCTTTAGTATCAGGGTGATGCCAGCCTTATAGAATGAGTAAAGGCCACCCTGGGCAAACAGTGAGACCCATCCCTTTTTAAAAATTATGAGTTTTACAAATTTAAAATGCATAGTGAAAAAGTTCTTACAAACTCCAGAAAGGTAGGTGTAAATAAGAGACATTTGTAAGAATGACAGCACATTAAATGTGTAGATTTCAACCTTCAGTTATTGCAATATTCCAGTATCAAGTTGGAGGATGTTATCAGTCTGATATTTTTTCCTCAAATGAGAGAGAGAAAGAAAGACACACAAACAACACAGGGAGAAAAAAAGCACACGTTACAGAGAGACAAAAAGGGAGACAGGGAACTGTGAATTTGGACTCTTGTGTCATAAGACAAATTCTAGATAACACGACCAGACCTTCAATTGACATATTGTGTTTTTGCTAATAAGGTGGAATTCTATGATGCGAAATAACTATATAGTCTTTTCTACTGGGATTTAAATCATTTTATCTGTTTCTGGCTTAACAGGAAAAATACAACCATGGAAAATTATGATGATTTATTTAATACGATTGCTCTATAGTGTTAATAAAACCTATTAGGTATTTTGCATATTACATATCAAGGAGAGTTTGAATCTCAGGTAGAAACAAAAAAAAATACATCAAAAGTTCCTCATGTGAGTGCAGAATTCAATCGTCCCGTGCAGGGGTAAGTGAGTCTGAGATGTGTTTTGAGCCTGGCCGTTGCGCATGATGTGAAGTGACAAGTCTAGTCTGCAGTTTTCAGAAACCCTCATTCCTCCCTTGACTGATTCACCACTTGAACCTCATATGACGTAGAAGAAGCCTACCTATGTCCCCTTCACATGTTGTGGTCAATGTGTCAACTGCACGATCCGGGCCCCTCACCACATCCTCTGCACCGGTCAGTCGAGCCGAGTCACTGCGTCCTGGCAGCAGAAGCTGCACCATGTCCATGTCACCCACGGTCATCATCCTGGCATGTCTTGGTGAGTCCTGGAAGGGAAGGAGCACCAGGGTTACACTATGGGCCTGCAGATTGGGTGTCTCCCCAGCAGAGAGCCATGTTCTGAAGCAAGTGAGTGGTGAGGATGAGTTAATTTTCAGTCCAGCGTGGCGCCCAGTGGCTCAGGAGGAAAGGGTAGGTTGCTGCCGAGATGAATAGTTCCTCATGATCTTTCTTTGCAGGGTTCTTCTTGGACCAGAGTGTGTGGGCACACGTGGGTGAGTCCTTCCCCAAATGATGGGTTGCCATCTTCACCCCAATACAAGTGAATTTTCCGGAAATGGGAGGGAGGCAGCACAGAGGGTGGGCTGATGGGCTGACCATGGGAAGGCCTGGGGGGAGTCTCTCATGAACTAGTAAGAGGAGATCCTGGGAGTCTCTCATGAACTAGTAAGAGGAGATCCTGGGAGTCTCTCATGAACTAGTAAGAGGAGATCCTGGTATGCTCAGCCTTCTGTTTTGTCTTAGCCCTCCCCAGCCTTTCTTCCCCATGGCTGAGTTGAGCTCTGTGTGGCCCAGGCGGGATACTGAGGTGCTCAAAGCTGGGGTGTGTGGGGGGATGTGGTGTCACCGACAGAGGAGGGAAGGGTAGCAGTGTTAGGAACAGCAGGTCCTCTGAGGACAAGAGGGTAACTCACACCCTCCAGCGTTTCCATGACGGTAGGGGCTGCAGTGTGGCTGCTGTCATTCTGCCAGAAGAGGTGGGGGAACCACAGCCACGACCCTGCCATTCCAAATCCTCTGATGGAGCTCAGTTGTTTATTGTGGTTCAGGCATTAGCTAATATTCCATTCACAAAGGTCATACCCTCCACCCCATGTCTACTTTGTGTTGTTTGGTGTAACTAATCTTGCAGTATTAAAATCTAGTAAGAGTCCCTTACTCAGCACCTGCTCAGTTCTCAACTGACACTTTTGTTGTAGGGAGACGCCACGTCTATGCGGGATGGGTCCTTCCTGTAGCCCCAGGCACCCAGGTGTGGTAGGAGCCTTAGAAAGAAGAAATGGGGAGAATCTTCTGAGCACAGGGAGGGAGGGGCAGCTCAACATACTCCTCTCTGAGGCGGCATCTCCTTCTCCCCAAGGTGGTCAGGACAAGCCCTTCTGCTCTGCCTGGCCCAGCGCTGTGGTGCCTCAAGGAGGACACGTGACTCTTCGGTGTCACTGTCGTCGTGGGTTTAACATCTTCACGCTGTACAAGAAAGATGGGGTCCCTGTCCCTGAGCTCTACAACAGAATATTCTGGAACAGTTTCCTCATTAGCCCTGTGACCCCAGCACACGCAGGGACCTACAGATGTCGAGGTTTTCACCCGCACTCCCCCACTGAGTGGTCGGCACCCAGCAACCCCCTGGTGATCATGGTCACAGGTCAGAGGGCTCCTGTCTGGGCTTCTCCTTGTCCCACCTCCTGAGTCCCAGAGCTTCTGGTGGGGGTGTCCACCAGAGTCCGATCATCCAGGCCCCAACTATATTTGGGGTAAAGGGGGATTGAATACAGGGGAATGGGTGCTGTGTTGGAAAGAATAACTGTCCCCATCGATGGCCACATTGTAATCCTTGGAGCCTGTGACTATGTTATAGGGCAGGGGACTGAAGGGGAAGATGGAGCTCAGGTTGTTGATGAGTTGACCTTGAGATGGGGAGATGGCCTGGACCCTCCCACTGGGCTCAGTGTAATCACAAGGGTCCATATGAGTGGAGAAGGAAGAGGAGAATGGGGATTAGAGCAGCATCGTGGGATACTCCACCAGCCACTGTGGGCTTTGAAGGTGGAGGAAGACCACGAGCCACGAAGGGGCTGGAGAAATCAATGGAACTGATTCTCCCGAGTCTCCAGAGGGAATGCAGCCCTGCAGATGCCTTGATTGTAGCCCAGGAAGAACAGGGTCTGATTTCTGTCTCCAGAAGTGGAAGGGGTCAGTGTGTTCTCTCCTGCCGCCATGTTTGTGATAATTTTCTCCAGCAACATCAGGAAACCAACACAGGAACCCAGGTGAAGGACAAGTTAAAAAACCAAACAAGAAGGTTGGCTACCCTGAGATCAGCAAGGGTGCACTGCTGATGCCACCACCAGGCTGGAACCACATAGGGAGGGATCGACAGGAAGAGTTGGGGGTGGAGGGTGAGAGAGAGAGAGAGAGAGAGAGCACTAGGCCATAGAGCAGGGCAGTGAGTTCTCAGCTCAGGTGGGAGGGGAGCTGTGACAAGGAAGAACCTCCCTGAGGAAACTGCCTCTTCTCCTTCCAGGTCTATATGAGAAACCTTCGCTTACAGCCCGGCCGGGCCCCACGGTTCGCGCAGGAGAGAACGTGACCTTGTCCTGCAGCTCCCAGAGCTCCTTTGACATCTACCATCTATCCAGGGAGGGGGAAGCCCATGAACTTAGGCTCCCTGCAGTGCCCAGCATCAATGGAACATTCCAGGCCGACTTCCCTCTGGGTCCTGCCACCCACGGAGAGACCTACAGATGCTTCGGCTCTTTCCATGGATCTCCCTACGAGTGGTCAGACCCGAGTGACCCACTGCCTGTTTCTGTCACAGGTGAGGAAAGCCAATGTCTGTCCCATGTCCTATGGTCCTAGAGCCTTAGCTGAGGAGCTTCCTGCTGATGATGGAGAGAAGCATGGACAGATGTGGAGAGAAGATGCAGCATGGTGTGAGGGTGGGATCAGGGCACAGGATGGCAGACAGGGCACCTCCAAACCCTCCTGCATGGCCTGCATGGAAGCTTGCAGTAAGGGCTCCGGGTACCCAGGCAGATGGAGAAAGTGGTCAGGACAGACCCAGAGGAGGGAGACTGGGCTCAGTTTGGGGAGATCAGAGGTTCCCTCAGCCCCTCAACCTTACCCATTTCCCAGAAGCCCACCCTGGCCTCTCACCTACACAGAGATGTCATCACCAGCAACCCCTACACTTTTTCTTTTCCTTTGAAAAAATGCTGATTGAGGTTAAATATACCTATATAATTTATCAACTTTACCATTTTTAAGTGTAAAATCTAGGGATCATAAATACCTTTATATGCTGTGTGCGGTGGCTCACGCCTGTAATCTCAGCATTTTGAGACGCCAAGGCAGGTGGATCATTTAAAATCAGGGGCTGGAGACCAGCCCGGCCAACATGGGGGAACCAATCTTTACTAAAAAGACAAAAAAAATAAAATTAGCCAGGCATGGTGCCAGGCGCCTATAATCCCAGCAACTTGGGAGGCTGAGGCGGGAGAGTGGCTTAAACCCAGGAGGAGGAGGTTGCAGTGAGCTGAGATCATGCCACTGCACTGCAGCCTGGTGACACAGAGAGACTCTGTCTCTAAATAAATAAATAAATACTTTTATATTCTTCTTTTGTTACCCTCCACCCCTTCCTTCCTAACCTCTGGTATCCACCATTCTACTCTCTACCTTCATGAGGTCCACCTTTTACATCCTGCATGTGAGTAAGAAATGGCAATCCTTGTAATGACCTCCAGTCCATCCATGTGGCTGCAAATGACAGGACGTTTCTCTTTGTATGGATGAGTTGTCTCCATTGTGTGTATGTACTACATTCTCTCTATCCATTCATCCACTGATGGGCAGGTAGGTTGACTCCACATCTTGGCTACTGTGAACAGTGCTGGAACAGTCATGGGAGTGCAGATGTCACTTCAATACACTGAAGTCCTTTTCTTTGCATTTACACCCACTAGTGGAATTGCTAGATCCTCTGGATGTTCTCTTTTTAGGTTTTGTTTTATGCTTTTTGTTTTTTTGACATAGCGTTTCACTCTTGTTGCCCAAGCTGGAGTGCAATGGCACCACCTGGGCTCACTGCAACCTCTACCTCCAGGATTCAAGTGATTCTCCAGCCTCAGCCTCCCGAGTAGTTGGGATTACTGGTGCCCGCCACCACGCCTGGCTGATTTTTGTATTTTTAGTAGAGACGGGGTTTCACCATGTTAGCCAGGCTGGTCTCGAACTCTTGACCTCCAGTGATCTGCCCACTTCAGCCTCCCAAGGTGCTGGGATTACAAGCGTGAGCCACAGTGCCTAATCTCTTTTTAGTTTTTAAGGAACTTCCATATTCTTCTCCTCTGTAATGGCTGTATTAATTTACATTCCTATCAACAGTGTATCAGGGTTCTCCTTTCTCCACCACCTTGCCAACATTTGTTTTGTCTGTCTCTGAGATAAAACCCATTGTAATGGGGTGAGATGATAGCTCATTGTGACTTCATTTGCATTTCTCTGATGATTAGTGATACTGAGCACTTTTTCATATATGCAATGTATATATGTTCATTTGTATGTTTTGTTCATTGAGAAATGTCTGTTCAGGTCTTTTACTAATTTTATAATTAAATTATTAGTTTTATTGAGGTGTTTGAGCTTCTTTTATATTCTAGTTATTAATCCCATCTCAGATGCATAGTTTGCAAATATTTGCTCCCATTCTGTGGGTTGTCTCTTCTTCACTTCATTGGTTGCTTCCTTTGCGGTGCAGAAGCTGCTTGATTTGATATAATCCCAATGGTCTATTTTTTTGTTGTTGTTGTGATTACTTGTGTTTTTGAGGTTTTAAACAAAATGTCTTCCCTCAGACAAATGTCCTGGAGCATTTCTCCAGTGTTTCCTTTTAGACATTTAATGGATTCAGGTCTTAAGTCATTAATCCATTTTCATCTGATTTTTGTGTATGGTGAGAGGTAGAGGTGCAGTTTCATCCCTCTGCATGTAGATATCCAGTTTTCCCTGCACCATTTATTGAAATGACTGTCCTTTCCAGATTGTAGATTCTTCGAACCTTTGTCAAAGTCCATTGGATGTAAATGGGTGGATTACATCCGTGTTCTTCATTCTGCTCCATTGTTTTATGTGCTTTTCTTTATGCCAATGTCATGTTGTTTTGCTTACTACAGCTCTGTAACATATTTTTAAGTCAGGTAGTGTGATGCTCCTGTTTTCTCCTTATACCTTGAAGTCTCAAGATAGTTGGTGTCACCTACAATGATTATGGAGAATGGGATGCCAGGACTCCCAGGGCCCAACATTAGATAATAGAATGTTGGCCATGAACCAACCTCAAAGATTTCCATTGAGTAGAAGACAGGCATCCTCATTGCCACACCTCTCTCCTGTCCCATGTTCTAGGAAACCCTTCTAGTAGTTGGCCTTCACCCACTGAACCAAGCTTCAAAACTGGTAAGTGAAGGACCCCTCTTATCTCTGCTTTTGGAAACCTGGGGAGGTAGAAGCCTTGGATTCAAGCGTTGGCTCAGCACCTGCCAGCTCTGTGATTGTGGGCCTGTCTTCCATTGTCTCTGAACCCCAGACACTCCAACAGCGAAAGGGATCTGGGCCCAGCACAGGGCTCAGTGAAATCTCTTAATCTCTAATTTTCTGCTGCTGAGACCTCAGGGTAGAAGGATGAGTGCAAATCAGACATTCTTCTCAGGAAAAATGCTGTGTTTGTTCTGCCTGCATTCCTAACTGGGAGGACAAATGCCTGGGGGCTTGAGAAGGGGAAGGACGGGGAACATTTTTGAGGGTGGTGTATTTGTAGAGAAGTTCTACTTGCCAAGGAATGAGCTCCTGTCTGTCATGATCCAACCCTGGTTGACTTAGTGGAACAAGAGCTTTGCGGTAAGAGAGAACGTAGTTCATCCGTGCACATGACACTTCCACTTACTCGTTCAGCCACTGCCCCATGCTCAGACTGTGCAGTGTGGAACCTTTTCCTATGTTGCCATAACAAATTTCCACAAGCTTCGTGGATGGAAACCACATTTTAAAAAAATATCTCATGGTGCTGTAGCTCAGAAGTATGAAATGCATCATCTCACTGGGCTAAAATCAAGGTGACAGCAAGGCTGCCTTCCCTCTGAATGTTCCAGGCAAGAATCTGCTTCCTCACTTTTCCCAGCTCCTAGAGGCTCCCACATTCCTTGGCTCCTGGTCCCCGTCTTCCTCCCTCAAAGTCCACAAAGGCTGGTCACGCCTCTCACACGGCATCACTCAGACCCTTCTTCCTTGTCCACACCTCTTTCTCTGAATGCTGCTCTGCCTTCTTCCTCATCTTTTAAGGACTTTGGCATTCTATTGGAAACACCAAGATAATCCATCATAATTTCCCTAAAATCATCTAGGATACCCTCCTTTTAAGGTTAGCTGATTAGCAACCGTAATTCCATCTGCAATCTGCATTCCTTTTTTCCATGTAAAATAACATATTCACAAGATATGGCGACTAGGACAGGAACATTTTGGGGTGGGGCGGCATTCTTATCCTTTCCACAAATGGTAAACAAGGTGCATTTGGCCTCTGCTCTTGGACACTGATATTGCAAAGGATTAAATGGGAGGGCAGAAAATGAATGCACCAGTGGACCAATAAATGAATGATCCATTGGGAAGCATCTGTGCATGAGAATGATTGATTGATTGGTTGTTTTTATGAGACGGTGTCTCCCTCTGTGCCCCAGGCTGGAGTGCAGTGGCGGGATCTCGGCTCACCGCAACCTCCACCTCCCAGGTTAAAGCGATTCTCTACACTCAGCTTCCCGAGAGGCTGGGATTACACCCATGTCCCACCACGCCTGGCTAATTTTTTTTTGGTATTTTTTTTTTAGTACAGACAAGGTTTTACCATGTTGCCCAGGCTATCTCAAACTCCCAACCTTAAGGGATCCGCCCGTCTCAGCCTCCCAAAGTGCTGAGATTCGAGGCGTGAGCCAAGGCGCCGAGCCGTATTTTAAAAGAAATAATAGATAATGCTGAGTGTATAATTTCGGGTGACAGAGAAGTTCTCACTGATCAAATAATACTTGTGACCTTAATGAAAAAAATAGATCAACCCCTGGAAGATTGGCGGAAGGATTTTCCACACAGCTGTCAGCCGTGAAGGCACAAAGGTGAAAACAATGTTATGTGGAAGGAAGAGGCTCTGCCTGAAATGCTGGGAATGAGATGGGGAGAATGACAAGACGACTGTGGAGAGACAGAGAGCACTCTGGGTACACAGGAAACTAAGGAGGAACAAGGAGCGTGTGTTTGACACTCACAGCCATTGGACTTACCTCGGGGCTAACTGGGAATCCCTACATGATGAATAGTGACTGACATGAAAATAAGGGAGGCCCAGGTGCATAACTGGAATCTAGGAGACTGTGGAAAAGGCAATTCCCGCCCCCCTGGTGAAATGTGGTGCTGATTTAGACACTAAATGAATGAAAGATGGACACAAGATGTGTTTGTGAGGTAGAGTAATTTGCAGGGAGGGCTTGCCTGCTTTGATTTTTCCTAATTGTTTAATCTTCACTTCATTGATTTCTTTCTGAGATTTATTTTTCCTACATGTAAATCAATACTTGGCAGAGGAGTGAGAGATACATGAGGGGTGGTGCAAAGGAAGAGACCTATTATAATATAACACACAAGGTTCTGAACGGTGGCTCACACCTGTAACCCAACATTTTGGGAGGCTGAGGAGGCTGGATCAAGTGAGATCAGGAGTTCGAGATCAGCCTGGACAACATGGTGAAACCCCATCTCTACTAAATATACAAAAACTAGCTGGGGGTGGTGGCGCATGCCTGTAATACCAGCTATTCGGGAAGTTGAAGAAGGAGAATGGCTTCAACCAGGGAGGGAGAGGTTACAGTGAGCCAAGATCGCGTCATTGCACTGCACCCTAGGTGACAGAGTGAGACTCCATGGCAAAAAATAAAAATAAAGAATACATAAATATAATATAACATACACGAATGACAAAGGCACACCAATTCCAATCATCATTTTTCTATTTCTCTATAATGACTTCTTTGATCCTTTATCCTATCCATAAGAAAATCAGGCGAAAACATCTTCCTTATTTGGCTTTCTGTGAGCATGAGATCATATGGAAAATGTGAAACCCACCAGCGCAGGTCCTGGAATAGAGAACGTGATCTGTTCATGGCACAAAACTTGCCCCTTCACCCAAATCCCCCACCTCACCCCTACTTCCAATCACATTAATGATACAGATAGATCATGGGGAGGTAAAAACTAATATTCTTTGGAGTTCAGATCGTAGACTCAGAGACCAGTGCCAGCACTATCTCCTGGTCACCTTTTGGAGTAATTCACAGAAAGACAGGCTGTATTGAAGCAACAGATGATGGAGGGGGTGGTCTTTCCCCCAGACTCTCGGGTGGAACAGCAGCCTAATATCTGACTCCCAAGATGACAAAAGTAGCATGTTGCCCACGAGCTTCATCATTATTTCCTGGCTGTTTGATATAAGACAGCTCAACCTCACTTATGTTGATTTCAATGTCACTGTTTTTTCCTTTTCTTGGAGAATGTAATTTGTTTGAGTCAAGAGGGTTGTGGATGTAGAAACTGTAAAGCACATTCACTGTGTATCAATCCCAGTCCAGTCTTCCCAGAGAAGACTCTAAACACCTCCCATACTGCACCTGGGGCTGTGCCAATTTCTATCACTCACCATCACTCCAGGGAGACAGAACACACAGGGAATACATTACATAGGCAGGTTCATTACTTATAGATAAGCAGCGAGTGACAACAGAAACCTTCCTTTCAGGGTGAGCCAGTCCCTCAAGGCTCAGAAAAACTGCTCAGGACACATGGAGTCACTTCATGTGCACTGTAGCTGGGGGAAGCCAGAAAGCAGCCCAGCCTGGGTTTTGTACCCTGGAGCCACAGGGAACACTCAGCTAAAGCACTGCATGATGTTCTCCTCCAGGAAGAACAGGAAGACAGCCCAGGCTGTTCTGAGACGTTCCTCCTGATCTCAGGATGTTGCTGTCTTAGCCTATTTTTGTTGCTATAAAAGAACACTTGAGCCTGGGTATCTTCTAAAGAAAAGAGATGTGTTTGGCTCACTGATCTGCACGCTGTACTAGAAGCAGGACACTACCATCTATTTCTGGCTGCGGCCTCAGGCTGCTCCCACACTGACAGAAGAGAAGGGGGTCCTGCGTGTGCAGAGACCACAGAGATCACATGGCAAGAGAGGGAGAAAGGGGGTGTGATGGAGCTTCCAAGCTCTTTTTAAGAATCAACTCTCCAGGGTACTAATAGAGGGAGAACTTGCTAACCCCGTCCTCTGGGGACAGCATTAATCTATTCATGATGGATCCACCCCCATGACCAAAACACCCCTCCCAATAGGCACAACCTCCCACACTGGGGATTAAATTTCAAAGTGGGGTTTGGAGGGGTCAAACATTGAAACAATAGCAGTTGTATCATCAGCACATTCTATTGTTATTATGAAAACTATAACGGAGAAAGCAGGAGAAAGCTGGGTCTCCCGCCTCGTGGGTGCTTGTCCTAAAGAGGTGTTTTATGTGGTTGCCTGGCAACCAAGAAATGAGAGACAATCCACAAAGAGGAACTGCTATGGTTAGCTTCTTATTGGATTCTCATCTTCCTCCAGGTATCGCCAGACACCTGCATGCTGTGATTAGGTACTCAGTGGCCATCATCCTCTTCACCATCCTTCCCTTCTTTCTCCTTCATCGCTGGTGCTCCAAAAAAAAAAGTAAGCCTCACGAAGCAGAGGCCAGAGAACTCAGGGCCCTGTGCGGAAGCAGGATGGGAGCACGCAGGTGTGTGTTCCTCACTGGCAGGAAAGTCTCTGGCCCAAGGCAGGAGCCAGAGGCAGAGCTTTCTAGAGAGAGCACCAGACAACCTGCCCCTGCCTTCAGCTCACAGACCATTGCCTGATTGTGAACTGTATCCTCACGTCCCCTGCAGCCACTCACATCCAGGAGAAGATTCCATGACAGGCAGAAAGTGGGAGATAGAATCAATGGGATGGGAACTGACAGCTATTCATGGAATGGGGTCTTGCACTCAGAGAGATGGAATGTCTGAGTCTGGCTGTTGGCAGCTGAGGGACCTCAGGCACCTATGGCCTCCCCCTGTGTGTTGGTATCTGTTCATGAAATGAGGACCCAGAAGTGCCCTCCCAGCTGTTTCGATTGCTTCCGTCTCCTACAGATGCTGCTGTAATGAACCAAGAGCCTGCGGGACACAGAACAGTGAACAGGGAGGTAGGTCCTCCTAGCCCAGCCTCATGGATACAGTCTTATTCCCTAATAGTCCTGAAAAATGTGAACACCCTCCCTCACTCAGGATTTCCCTCTCTCCAGGACTCTGATGAACAAGACCCTCAGGAGGTGACATACGCACAGTTGGATCACTGCATTTTCACACAGAGAAAAATCACTGGCCCTTCTCAGAGGAGCAAGAGACCCTCAACAGATACCAGCGTGTGTATAGAACTTCCAAATGCTGAGCCCAGAGCGTTGTCTCCTGCCCATGAGCACCACAGTCAGGCCTTGATGGGATCTTCTAGGGAGACAACAGCCCTGTCTCAAACCCAGCTTGCCAGCTCTAATGTACCAGCAGCTGGAATCTGAAGGCGTGAGTCTCCATCTTAGAGCATCACTCTTCCTCACACCACAAATCTGGTGCCTGTCTCTTGCTTACCAATGTCTAAGGTCCCCACTGCCTGCTGCAGAGAAAACACACTCCTTTGCTTAGCCCACAATTCTCTATTTCACTTGACCCCTGCCCACCTCTCCAACCTAACTGGCTTACTTCCTAGTCTACTTGAGGCTGCAATCACACTGAGGAACTCACAATTCCAAACATACAAGAGGCTCTCTCTTAACACGGCACTTAGACACGTGCTGTTCCACCTTCCCTCGTGCTGTTCCACCTTTCCTCAGACTATTTTTCAGCCTTCTGGCATCAGCAAACCTTATAAAATTTTTTTGATTTCAGTGTAGTTCTCTCCTCTTCAAATAAACATGTCTGCCTTCATTCTTTAGGTGACTCTTTTTTTGGCTGAAAGTTTCCAGTGTTATCATTACCATGTCCAAATAACTCCAACTGTTCTCCACTGGGTTCTCACCCCTGGACTCTGAGCTTCTGGAAGCAGGGTGGAGCCTCATTTGTCTCTGAGACTCCAATTTCCATCCAAAGATGCAGCACATAAGAGGTTCCAAGGATCGTGAATCACATGAACAAGTGATATTCTTACTCTCTGCAGACCTGGAAAGCTGGCAGAGTCATTCCATGATGAAACATTTGTAGAGTCATAGGCCTTGTTAGTCTCATCTCCACGGGGACACATATCAACACATCATCTTTCATACTATAAATATACAGTCGGTCCTCTGTATCTGTGGGATTTACAGGTGTTTATTGAACCAAATATAAATCAAAAATATTCAGAGAAAAAATCCACAAAGTTTCAAAAAGCAAAACTATGTTGAATGGACACAAATGAAGCTGTGTGTAGGCTGTATCAGGAATTATAAATAATCAAGGGATGATTTCATGTACACAGGAGGATGTGCATGGGTTATTTGCAAATGCTGTGCCATTTCATGTAAGAGGCTTGAGCATCTGCAGATTGTGCTATCTGAGTGGAGATCCTGAGACCAATCACCCACGAATAATGAGGGATGACTGTATATAATTTTTATTTCTCAATTTTAAATATAAAACATAAAAAAATTACAATAACAAGATAAAATAAACAAGTGTTTTATAGTGTGAGAATACTTTTAGATATATTTTTCTCCATGTGTAACCCTTGGGCCCATGTTATTTATTGAGAAGACATTCTATTCCACCTTAAACCACATGGCAGCCTTTGTCAACTATAAAGGGACTGTGTGTACACGGATGTATTTTAGACACTGTTTTCTGCTCAGTGGCTCTCTCTCTGTCCACTCTCTTGAGAATGCTGCATTTTATGCAGCCTTATACAACCCCTAAAATTTGGTAGCTGGAGTCCTCTAGTTATTTATTATAGGCTATTTGCTATGCTTTTTTTATTTTTCTTGAGGCAGAGTCTCGCTCTGTTGCCCAGGCTGGAGTGCAGTGGCACGATCTCGGCTCACTGCAACTTCTGCCTCCCAGGTTCAAGGGATTCCGTGCCTCAGCCTCTTGAATAGCTGGCATTACAAGTGCCTGCTACCAGGCATGGCTAATTTTTGTATTTTTAGCAGAGACATGGTTTCACTATATTGGCCAGGCTGGTCTCAAACTCCTGACCTCGGTTGATCACTCACCTCGGCTTCCAAAGTGCTGGGGAAATTGATTTTCTATAGCATTATGTTACTGGATATTTCTGTAAAATTTAAAATGAGGGAGGCAGAGAGACAGAGAGAGAGCAAACCATGAGTTGGAACTCTGGAATCTTGGGACATGAGACAAATTCTAGATAAATCTACAAAAATCCAGAATTTACATGTTGTGATTTTTGCTGATAAAGTACAATTCTAAGATTGTAAATAATTGCATAATCCTTCCCTGGGAGTTTAAATCATTTGAACTGGTTCTGCTGTAATACTAGAAATACAATCATGAAAAATTCTAATGGTTTATTAGTCACAATTGCTCTGAAAACCTTAATAATACCTATTAGATATTTTGCATATTACACAGGAAGAAGAGTTTGAATCTCAGATAAAAGCAATAAAAATACATGAAAAGTCTTTCATGTTAGCACAGATTTTAGGCATCTCGTGTTCAGGAGGTTGGATCTGAGACGTGTTTTGAGTTGGTCATAGTGAAGGACGCGAGGTGTCAATTCTAGTGAGAGCAATTTCCAGGAAGCCATGCTCCGCTCTTGAGCGAGCACCCACTGGGCCTCATGCAAGGTAGAAAGAGCCTGCGTACGTCACCCTCCCATGATGTGGTCAACATGTAAACTGCATGGGCAGGGCGCCAAATAACATCCTGTGCGCTGCTGAGCTGAGCTGGGGCGCAGCCGCCTGTCTGCACCGGCAGCACCATGTTGCTCATGGTCGTCAGCA
The DNA here is from genome assembly GCF_000001405.40 of Homo sapiens. Classification (NCBI taxonomy): domain Eukaryota; kingdom Metazoa; phylum Chordata; class Mammalia; order Primates; family Hominidae; genus Homo; species Homo sapiens. The sequence continues at coordinate 148,517 of NW_016107310.1, forward strand.
TGGCGTGTGTTGGTGAGTCCTGGAAGGGAATCGAGGGAGGGAGTGCGGGGATGGAGATCTGGACCTGGAGGTAAAGATATGGGCCTAGAGGTGGAGTTATGGGCCTGGAGGTGGAGTTATGGGCCTGAAGTGGAGATCTGGGCCTGGAGTGGAGATCTGGGCCTGGAGTGGAGATAGGGGCCTGGGGTGGAGATATGTGCCTGGAGTGGAGATCTGGGCCTGGAGTGGAGATATGGGCCTGGGGTGGAGATATGTGCCTGGGGTGGAGATATGGGCCTGGAGGGGAGATATGGGCCTGGAGGGGAGATGTGGGCCTAGAGGTGGAGTGATGGGCCTAGAAGTGGAGCGATGGGCCTGGAGTGGAGATATGGGCCTGGAGGTGGAGTTATGGGCCTGCAGTAGAGATATGGGCCTGAAGTGGAGATATGGGCCTGGAGTGGAGATATGGGCCTAGAGGTGGAGTTATGGGCCCGGAGGTGGAGTTAAGGGCATGAAGTGGAGATCTGGGCCTGGAGTGGAGATATGATCCTGGAGTGGAGATATGGGCCTGGGGTGGAGATACGGGCCTGGAGCAGACATACAAGCCTGGAAAGGAGATATGGGCCTGGAGAGGAGATAGAAGCCTGGAGTGGAAATATGGGCCTGGAGTGGAGATATGAGCCTGGAGTGGATATATGAGCCTGGAGTTGAGATAGGAGCCTGGAGTGGAGATATGGGCCTGGAGTGGACTTATCAGCCTGGAGAGGAGATATGGGTCTGGAGTGGAGATACGGACCTGGAGTGGAGATCTGGGCCTGTTGTGTAGATCTAGGCCTGGAGGTAGAGATCTGGGCCTGGAGGCTGAGTCTCTGCACAGCCGAGATCCTTGTTCCTGGGGGCAGGTAGGCAGCGAGGGTGAGTTTACCTTCAGCCCAGCAAGGGCCTGGCTGCCAAGACGCACAACCCAGTGGGGGCAGCAGGGTGCCCTGGTTTGCCTGCAGATGGATGGTCCATCATGATCTTTCTTTCTAGGGTTGTTCTTGGTCCAGAGGGCCGGTCCACACATGGGTGAGTCCTTCCCCAAACCTTAGGGTGTCATCTCCCCACATAAGAGGATTTTCCTGAAATGGGAGGGAAGTCCTGTCGGGGAGTCTCTCATACACTAGGAAGAGGGGACCCTCGGATGCTCGGCCCACATTTCTGACCTTGCCCTCCCCGGCCTTTCTTTCCCTTTCCTGAGTCAAGCTCTGTGAAGACTGGGGTGAGACTAGGGTGCTCCAAGATGGGTGTGCAGGGAGGAAGTGGTGTCAGCAGCAGAGAAAGAGAGGGAAGCAGTGCTAGGAACAGCAGGTCCTCTGAGGACAAAGGTGTAACTCACACCCTCCAGCGTTTCCGTGATGGTAGGGGCTGCAGTGTGGCTGCGGTCTTTCTACCAGAAAAGGTGAGGAAACCACAGCCATGGCCCTGACATTCCAAATCCTCTGATGGGGGCTCAGTTCATCAATTGGCTGATATTCCATTCACATAGGACTTGCCCTCCATGCCGTGTCTACTTTGTATTGTTTTATATGAGTAATTTTGCAGTATTAAAATCTAGTAAGAGTTGCTTCTCCAGCACTTGCTCAAAGTTCTCAGCTGACACTTGTTGTAGGGAGACGCCATGTCTATGCAGGATGGGTCCTTCCTGTAGCCCTGGGCACCCAGGTGTGGTAGGAGCCTTAGAAAGTGGAAATGGGGAGAATCTTCTGGGCACTGGGAGTGAGGGGCGGCTCCACATCCTCCTCTCTAAGGCAGTGCCTCCTTCTCCCCCAGGTGGTCAGGACAAGCCCTTCCTGTCTGCCTGGCCCAGCGCTGTGGTGCCTCGCGGAGGACACGTGACTCTTCGGTGTCACTATCGTCATAGGTTTAACAATTTCATGCTATACAAAGAAGACAGAATCCACGTTCCCATCTTCCATGGCAGAATATTCCAGGAGGGCTTCAACATGAGCCCTGTGACCACAGCACATGCAGGGAACTACACATGTCGGGGTTCACACCCACACTCCCCCACTGGGTGGTCGGCACCCAGCAACCCCATGGTGATCATGGTCACAGGTCAGAGGCTTTCCGTCTGGGCTTCTCACTGTCCCACCTCCTGAATCCCAGAGCTTCTGGTGGGGCTGTCCGTCAGGGTCCCATCACCCAGGCCCTGGCTGTATTTGGGGTCAAGGGAGATTGAATACAGGGCAAATGGGTGCTGTGGTGGGAAGAATAACTGTCCCCAATGATGGCTACATTGTAATCCCTGGAGCCTGTGACTATTTATGTTATAGGGCAGGGGACTGAAGGGGAAGGTGGAGCTCAGGTTGTTGATGAGTTGACCTTGAGATGGGGAGACAGCCTGGACTGTCCCACTGGGCTCAGTGTAATCACAAGGGTCCGCGTGAGAGGTGGAGGAAGAGGGGAGTGGGGATTAGAGCAGTGTAGTGGGAGGGAGACGCTATCAGCCACTGCGGGCTTTGAAAGTGGAGGAAGACCACTAGTCACAGAATGCAGGTGGCCTCTAAGGGCTGGAGAAGTCAGGAGAACTGATTCGCTGATTCTCCAGAGGGAACGCAGCCCTGTAGACGCCTTGATTTCAGCACAGGGAGAACTGGATCCAATTTCTGTCTCCAGAAGTGGAAGGGGTCAGTGTGTTCTCTCCTGCTGCCATGTTTGTGGTAATTTTCTGCAGCAGCAACAGGAAACCAACACAGGAACCCAGGTCAAGGACAAGTTAGGAACCCAGGTCAAGGACAAGTTAGGAAACCAAACAAGGACAGCCAGGTGTGGTGGTGGGCGCGAGTAATCCAACGACTGGGGAGGCTGAGGCAAGAGAATCACTTGAACTGGGGAGGCAGAGGTTTCAGTGAGCCAAGACAACACCACTACACTCCAGCCTGGGTGAAAAAGTGACTGTCTCAAAAATAAATTAATTAATCAATTAATTAAAGAAACCAAACAAGGAGAAGGTTGGCTACCCTGAGATCAGCAAGGGCAGGATGCTGATGTTACCACCAGGCTCCATCCACATAGGAAGGGGTTGATGCTCCTGGAACCAGCACCAGGGGCCACCCTATGGAAGCTGGGGCCATGGAGAAGGCACAGACATGGCAGGAGAGGCTCCCAATCCCCATCAGGAACAGGGTGTGTGGTCACTGATGTCTGTCTTACTGATGAGTTGATACCACCTGCCAGAGACTCCAATTTGTTCAAAAGAGATTGATTCAGGCTGCTAAGAGCCTGGACATGCAGCCTGTCCTCTTCCACCCCCATATAAACAGCAGGAAAGAGATTAGTGGGAAACAGATACAACAGCCCAAGAGATGAGGCTGTCTTCACAGTGGCAAGGGAGTCAGGGGCTACTGGAGACAGAGGGACAGAGAAGAGGGAGGAAGACAGATGGAGGCACCTGCACCAGGGGATATGGGCACAGAAAAGACACGGAGATGCAGAGAGGGAGGAGAGAGACAGACACGGGGAGGGGAACCCTCACTCATTCCAGGTGCCATGGATGGGATGATAAAGAGAGATGCCTTCTAAACTCACAACTTCTCTTTCTAGGAAACCACAGAAAACCTTCCCTCCTGGCCCACCCAGGTCCCCTGGTGAAATCAGGAGAGAGAGTCATCCTGCAATGTTGGTCAGATATCATGTTTGAGCACTTCTTTCTGCACAAAGAGTGGATCTCTAAGGACCCCTCACGCCTCGTTGGACAGATCCATGATGGGGTCTCCAAGGCCAATTTCTCCATCGGTTCCATGATGCGTGCCCTTGCAGGGACCTACAGATGCTACGGTTCTGTTACTCACACCCCCTATCAGTTGTCAGCTCCCAGTGATCCCCTGGACATCGTGGTCACAGGTGAGAGTGTCTAGACATTGTTCTCATTGTCACTGGGACACAGAGTGAATGATCCAGGACTTGGAACCCCCAGGTGGTCATGAGGAAGATAAGTGTGGGATTCTTATGGAAAGAGAGTGACTTGGTGAGGTCTGTACCAACAGAGACAGAGAAACAGGAGACATAAGTACAGAACAGGTGTCATAACAGGGGACAGACACAGGGGCCATACAGGGAGGTAGAAAAGAGAGAAAGAGGTAAAGGAGACACTCAGACAGACAGACATGTCCCAGAGAGAGGTGTCCTTCCATGCTGACTTTGCTCAGAGACCTGGCACAGGTTAGAAGTTTCATTTCTGTTTTACCTCCACAAAGTGTTTCTACCAGAAGAACCCAAGGACACCCATATTTCTGACCTGAGTTGGGCCCTGTGGCCTCAGGCCTTGTGCCACCTACAGATGCCGTGTTTATTCTGACACCTCTGCCTTCCATGCAATGGAGAGTAATCATCCCAGGATATCATGGCCCCAGAACACCAACCCCTGTATGCTGTGTGAACTTGGGGTCCCCAGACTGGATTCTGAGGCTCATATTCCAAATAATCCCACATATGATAGGATCGCTGAGAGACACAGAGAAAAATCAGGGACACCAAAAAGCAAAGACATAAACACACACAAAATGAGCCAGAAGAAGGAGATTAAGAGATTCACAGACACATAAAAAGAAAGAAAAGAGGGCAGAGTGGAGAGAATGATGGAAAGGAGGAGAGAAAAGCCCCAAAATCAGAACCCTGAGGGAGGGACACAAAGACAGAGAAAGATAAAGATGTGGGGATGGATTGCAGAGATTCCAAATAGAACTAGAGAGACTGAGAGGCAGAGAAAGACAAGGAGACGGAGAGAGAGAGATGATAGATGGATAGATAGACGTAGATAGATGATAAATAGGTAGATGATAGATAATGGATTGGTTATAGATACATAGATGATGACTGATAGATGATACATAGAGATGATGATGATGACGATGATGATGATAGACACATAGATATATACATAGATGATACATAAATAGAGACAGAGAGGCAGACAGAGAGGTAATAGAGAGAGAGATAGATGATACATATATAGATAATAGATGATTGATGGATAGATAGACAGATAGACAATTGATAGAGAGATAGATAAGTGATACATAAATATAGATGATAGATAATTTGTAGATAGACACAAAATAGATAAATAGATAGATCGATAGATAATAGATAGAAATGTGCAGAAAGTTATGAACAAGACAGAAAGTGAGAGACTCAAAATTAAAGAAAAAGGAAGATCAAGTCAACCAATCCAAGGAGGGTCAGAGAGAATAAAACAATCCAAAAAGGGAAAACATACCTCAGGGTGGGGAAGTGAGGTCATAGACCTAGAGAGACAGAAAAGGTAGAAGGAGGAAACAGATATGAAGAGAGATGGGGTGGAGAGTGAGAGAGAGAGAGAGAGCATTAGGTCATAGAGCAGGGGAGTGAGTTCTCAGCTCAGGTGTGAGGGGAGCTGTGACAAGGAAGAACCTCCCTGAGGAAACTGCCTCTTCTCCTTCCAGGTCTATATGAGAAACCTTCTCTCTCAGCCCAGCCGGGCCCCAAGGTTCAGGCAGGAGAGAGCGTGACCTTGTCCTGTAGCTCCCGGAGCTCCTATGACATGTACCATCTATCCAGGGAGGGGGGAGCCCATGAACGTAGGCTCCCTGCAGTGCGCAAGGTCAACAGAACATTCCAGGCAGATTTCCCTCTGGGCCCTGCCACCCACGGAGGGACCTACAGATGCTTCGGCTCTTTCCGTCACTCTCCCTACGAGTGGTCAGACCCGAGTGACCCACTGCTTGTTTCTGTCACAGGTGAGAAAAGCCCATATCTCTCTCATGTCCTATGATCCTAAATCCTTAGCTAAGGAGCTTCCTGCTGATGATGGAGAAAAGCATGGACAGATGCAGAGAGAAGACACAGCAGGTGTGAGGGCGGAGTCAGGGCGCAGGATGGCAGACAGGGCACCTCCAAACCCTCCTTCATGGCCTGCATGGAGGCCTCCGATCAGGGCTCCAGGCACCCAGGCAGATGGAGAAAGCGGTCAGGACAGACCCAGAGAAGGGGAGACTGGGCTTAGTTTGGGGAGATCAGAGGTTCCCTCAGCCCCTCAATCTTACCCATTTCCCAGAAGCCCATCATGGCCTCTCACCCACACAGAGAGATATCATCACCAGCAACCCCTACACCCTTTTCTTTTCATTTTCAAAAATATTTATTGAGGTTAAATGTAACTATATAATTTACCACCTTTACCATTTTTAAAAGTAAAATCTAGTGGTCATAAATACCTTTATATGCTGGGCGTGGTGGTTCACAGTTGTAATCTCGGCGCTTTGAGAGGCCAAGGAAGGTGGATCATTTAAGATCAGGAACTCGAGATCACCCTGGCCAACATGTGGGAAATTCATCTTTACTAAACAGACAAGAAAAATTAGCCGAGCATGCTGGCATGCACCTGTAGTCCTAGCTACTTGGGAGGCTGAGGCAGGAGAAGCACTTAAAGCCAGGAGGCCGAGGTTGCACTGAGCCGAGATCATGCCACTGCACTGCAGCCTGGGAGACAGAGAGAGACTCTGTTTCTAAATAAATAAATACATCTATATTCTTTTTTTTGTTACCCTCCACCCTTCCCTTCCTGGCCTCTGGTGTCCACCATTGTATTCTCCACCTTCATGAGATCCACCTTTTATCTCCTGCATGTGGGTGAGAAATGGGAATCTTTGTAATGACCTCCAGTTCCATCCATGTGGCTGCAAATGACAGGATGTTATTGTTTCTATGGATGAGTAGTCTCCACTGTGTGTGTGTACCACAGTTCTCTATCCATTCACCCACTGATAGGCAGGTAGGTTGACTCCACATCTTGGCTACTGTGAACAGTGCTGGAACAGTCATATGAGTGCAGATATCACTTCGATACACTGATGTCCTTTCCTTTGGATATAAACCCAGTAGTGAAATTGCTGGATACTATGAAAGTTCTCTTTTTTTTTTTTTTCTTTTTTGAGAAAGAGTTTCCCTCCTTAGTCCAAGCTGGAGTCTAAGTGGTGAGATCTTGGCTCATTGCAACCTGTGCCTCCTAGGTTCAAATGATTGTCCTGACTCAGCCTCCCTAGTAGCTGTGATTACAGGTGCATGCCACCATGCCTGGCTAATTTTTGTATTTTTTTAGCACAGACGGGATATCCCAATTTTGGGCAGGCTGCTCTCAAACTCCTGACCTCAAGTGAGGTGCCTGCCTCGGTTTCCCAAAGTGCTGAAATTACAGGCATAAGCCACTATGCCCAGCCTCCTTTTAGTTTTTTAAAGAATTTCCATACTTTTCTCCATAATAGTTGTACTAATTTACATTCCTACCAACAGGGTACCAGGGTTCTCCTTTCTCTACCATCTTGCCAGCATTTGTTTTGCCTGTCTTGCAGATAAAAGCCATTTTACTTTACTTTATTTTATTTATTTATTTATGTTGAGATGGAGTTTCACTCATAGTCGCCCAGGCTGGAGTGCAAGGGTGTGATCTCAGCTCACTGCAACCTCCGCCTCCCGCGTTCAACTGATTCTCCTGCCTCAGCCTCCAAAGTAGCTGGGATTACAGGCGTGTGCCACCACGCCTAGCTAATTTTTGTATGTTTAGTAGAGAGGGAGTTTCTCCATGATGGTCAGGCTGGTCTCCCGACCTCAGGTGATCCGCCCACCTCCGCTTCCTGAAGTGCCGGAATTACAGGCGTGAGCCACCGGCCTAAAAGGCATTTTAATGGGATGAGATGAAAACTCATCGCGATTGTAATTTACATTTCTCTGATGATGAGTGATGCCGAGTACTTTTTCATATACGTGATCGCCATTTCTATGTTTTGTTTGTGGAGAAATGTCTCCTCATGTCTTTTGCTCGTTTTTTAATTAAATTGTTTTATTGAGTTGTTTGAGCTTCTTATATTTCCAGTTATTAATCCCGTCTCAGATGAATAGTTTGCAAATATTTGCTCCTATTTTGTGGGTTGTCTCTTCACTTTCTTGGTTTATCTTTTGTGGTGCAGAAGTTGCTTGGTTTGATGTAATCCTAATGGTCTATTTTTTGCTTTGATTACTTGTGTTTTGAAGGTTTTAAACAAAATGTCTTTCGTCAGACAAATGTCTTCCCCATTATTTTCTTCTACATGTTTCATAGGTTCAGGCCTTAGACTCATGTTTTTAATCCATTTTCATTTGATTTTTGTTTATGGTGACAGGTATAGATGCAGTTTTATTCCTCTGCATGTAGATATCCAGTTTTCCCCACACCATTTATTGAAAAGACTGTCCTTTCCTGATTGTGAGTTCTTGGCACCTTTGTCAAAGTCCATTAAATGGGCTGGGTATGGTGGCTCACACCTGCAATTCCAGCACTTTGGGAGGCCGAGGCGGGTGGATCACCTGAAGCCAGGAGTTCAAGACCAGGCTGGCCAACAGAGTGAAACCTCGTCTCTACTAAAAATACAAAAATTAGCTGAGCATGGTGACCAGTGCCTGTAATACCACTACTCGGGTGTTTGAGGCAAGAGAATTGCTTGAATCCAGGAAGTGGAGGTTGCATTGAGCTGAGATTGCACCTCTGCACTCCAGCCTGCATGACAGAGCAAGATTCCATCACACACACACAAAAAAAAGCCATTGGGTGTAAATGCATGGATCATATCCGTGTTCTCCATTCTGTTCCATTTTTTATGTGCCTTTCTTTATGCCAATGTCATGCTGTTTTGCTTACTACAGCTCTGTAACATATTTCTAAGTCAGGTAGTGTGATGCTCCTGTTTTCTCTTTATACCTTCAAGTCTCAAGACAGTGGGCATCGCACACAAAAATTATGGAGAAGAGGATCCCAAGACTCCCAGGGTCCAACATTAGATAACAGAGTGTTGGCCATGAACCAACCTCAAAGATTTCCATTGAGTAGAGGACAAGCACCCTCATTTCCTCACATCTCTCCTGTCCCATGTTCTAGGAAACCCTTCAAGTAGTTGGCCTTCACCCACAGAACCAAGCTCCAAATCTGGTGAGTAAAGGACCCCTCTTATCTCTGCTTTTGGAAACCTGGGGAGGTGGAAGCCTTGGATGCAAGCGTTGGCTCAAACCTCCCAGCTCTGTGAATGAGGGCCTGTCTTCCACCATCTCTGAACTCCAGACACTCCAACAGTGAAAGGGATCTAGGGCCACCAAAGGGCTCAGCGAAGTCTCTTAACCTTTAATGTCCTGCAGGTGAGACCTCCTACAAGCTAGAAGAATGATTGCCAATCTGACATCCTTCTCAGGAAAAATGCAGTGTTTTTTCTGCCTGCATTCCTAACTGGAGGATAAATTCCTGGGGACTTGAGAGAGGGAAGGGAAGGGAACATCTCATGAGGGTGGGTGTTTTAGAGAAGTTCCACTTGCCAAGGAATGAATTACTGTTGGTCATGAAGCAACCCTGGCTGACTCAGCAGAGCAAGAGCCTTGCCGTAACAGAGAACAGAGCTCATGCACGCACACTTCGACTCACTGACTCATTCAGCCACGGCCCCATGCTCAGGCTGTGCAGTTGGAATCCTTTCCTATTGTTGCCATAACAAATTTCCACAAGATTCGTGGGTGAAAATAAAGCGGCTTTTTAATTATCTTACAGTGCTGTAGCTCAAAGTATGAAGTGCATCTCACTGGGCTAAAAACAAGGTGACAGCAAGGCTGCCTTCCCTCTGAGGGTTCCAGGCAAGAATCTGCTTCTCACTTGTCCCAGCTTCTAAAGGCTCCCAGTTCCTTGGCTCCTGGTCCCCTTCCTCCTTCCTCAAAGCCCACAAAGACTGGTCACATCTCACATGGCATCACTCAGACCCTTCTTCCTTACCACACCTCTTTCTCTGAATGCTGCTCTCCCTTCTTCCTTATCTTTTGAAAACTTGGGGATTCTATTGGGTTCACCAAGATGAAAATCCATCATAATCTCCCGGAAATCATTCAGGATACCCTTGTTTTAAGTTCAGCTGACTAGCAACCGTAATTCCATCTGCAATCTTCATTCCTCCTTTCCATGTAAAATAACATATTCACAAGCTATGGAGGCCAGGACAGGGACATTTTGGGGTGGGACAGCATTCTCCTGCCTTCCACGAACGGTGAACAAGATGCATTTGGCCTCTGCTCTTGGGACACTGATATTGCAGATGGTTAAATGGGAGGGCAGAAAATGAATGCACAAGTGGACCAATAAATGAATGATCCATTGGGAAGCATCTGTGCATGAAATCTATTTGTTTGTTCGTTCATTTATTTATTGAGACAGAGTCTCCCTCTGTCTTCCAGGCTACAGTGCAGTGTCACGATCTTGGCTCACTGCAACCTGCGTCTCCTGGATCCAAGTGATTCTCCTGCCTCACCCTCTCGAGTAGCTGGGATTACAGGCAACTGCCACCATGCCCGGCTAACTCTTTTTGTATATTTTTTGTAGAGAGGATGTTTCACCATGTTGGCCAAGCTTGTCTGAAACTCCCAACCTCAAGTGATCCGACCATCTCAGCAACCCAAAGTACTGGGATTACAGGCGTGAGCCACTTTGCCCAGCCAGAATTCAAAATCAATAATAGATAATGCTGAGTGTATAATTTTGGGTGACAGAGAAGGTCTCACTAATCAGATATTTGTGACATTAATGAAAAACACGGATTGAACCCCTGAAAGATTGGCGGAAGGATTTTCCACACAGCTGTCAGCTGTGAAGGCACAAAGGTGAAAACAATCTGATGTTGAAGGAAGAGGCTCTGCCTCAAATGCTGGGAATGAAGTGGGGAGAATGACAAGACGACTGTAGAGAGACGGAGAGCACACTGGGTACACAGGAAACTAAGGAGCAACAAGGAGTGTGTGTTTGACACTCACAGCCATTGGATTCACCTCGGGGTAACCAGGAATCCCTACATGATTAATATGACTGACATGAAAATAAAGGAGGCCCAGGTGCGTAACTGGAATCTAGGAGACTGTGGAAAAGGCAATTGCCACCCCACTGGTGAAATGTGGTGCTGATTTAGACCCTAAGTGGATGAAGCAGATGGATATAAGCTATGCTTGGGAGGTAGAATCATTTGCAGGGAGGGCTTGCTGGGTTTGAGTTTCCTAGTTGTTTAATCCTTGCTAAATTAATTTCTTTCTGAGATTTATTCCTCCTACACATAAATCAATACCTGGCAAAGGAGTGACAGATATATGAGGGGTGGTGGAAATGAAGGGACCTATTATAGCATAGTATACAAGTCTGTGAACGGTGGCTCACTCCTGTAACCCAGCACTGCAGGAGGCTAAGGCCAGTGGATTCCAAGAAATCAGGAGTTCGAGACCAGCCTGGCCAACATGGTGAAACCCTATCTCTACATGGTGAAACCCTATCTCTCCTAAAAATACAAAAATTAGCCGAGCATGGTGGTGCATCCCTGTGATCCCAGCTCCTGCTCTGGAGGATGAAGCAGGAGAATGACTTCAACCCAGGAGGTGGAGGTTGCAGTGAGTGGAGATCGCATCACTGCACTCCAGCCTGGGTGACACAAGGAGACTCCGTCTCAAAAAATAAAAATAAGAAATGCATAAATATAATAAAACACACACGAACGACAAAGGCACCTGAATTCCCATCATCATTTTTCTATTTCTCTATAATTACTTCTTTGATTCTTTATCTTATCCATTAGACAATCAGCCTAAAACCTCTTCCGTATTTGGCTTTCTGTGAGCATGAGATCATATAGAAAATGTGAAAGCCCGCTGAATCCTCCAGCACAAATCCTGGAATAGAGAAAGTGCTCTGGTCATCACAAAAAAAACTTGCCCCCTCACCCAAATCCCCCACCTCACCCCTACTTCCAATCACCTGTGCAGATACAGATAGACCATGGGGAGGTAAATGCTAATACTCCTTGGAGTGAGTCCAGATCTTGGAATCAGAGATCAGTGCCAGCACTAGCTCCTGCTCCCCTTTCCTACTAATTCACAGGAGGACAGGTGGTATTGAAGCAATAGATAGTCGAGGGGGTGGTCCTTCCCCCAGCCTGTCAGGTAGAACAGCAGCCTAACATGTGTCTCCCGAGATCACAAAGAATAGCACATTTCACACGGGCTTCAACACTATTTTCTGGCTGTTTGACATAAGAGAATTCTACTTCGCATTTTTGATCTTGATTTCACTTTTGTTTCCTTTTCTTGGAGAATGCAAGTTGTTTAACTCAAGAATGCCGTGGATGTAGAAATCCTAAAGCACATTCGCTGTGTATCAATCCCAGTCCAGTCTTCCCAGAGAAGACTCTAAACACCTCCTGGACTGCACCTGGGCCTATGCCAATTCCTATCACTCACCGTCACTCCAGGGAGACAGAACACACAGAGAACACATTACACAGGCAGGTTCATTACTAACAGATAAGCAGCGAGTGACAACAGAAGCCTACATTTCAATGTGAGCCAGTTCCCCAAGGCTCAGAAAAGCTGCTCGAGACATGTGGAGTCACCCCATTTGCAGTGTAGCTGGGGGAAGCCAGAAAGCAGCCCAACCTGGGTTTTGTACCCTGGAGCCACAGGAAGCACTCAGCTAAAGCACTGCATCACGTCCTCCTCCAGGAAGAACAGGAAGACAGCCCAGGCTGTTCTGGGACTTTCCTCCTGATCTCAGGACGTTGCTGTCTTAGTCCATTTTTGTTGCTCTAAAGGAACACTTGAGCCTGGGTAACTTCTAAACAAAAGATTTTGGTTTGCCTTACAGTTCCGCAGGCTGTACTGGAAGCATGGCACCAGCATCTATTTCTTGTGACTGCCTCAGGCTGCTCCCACTCTGGCAGAAGGGAAGGAGGGTCTGTCTGTGCAGAGACCACAGAGATCACACGGCAAGAGAGGGAGCAAGGGAGAGGGGGAGTGATGGAGCTTCCAAGCTCTTATGAACAACCAGCTCTCCAGGAACTAATAGAGGGAGAACTTGCTAACCCCGTCTCCTTAAAACAGCATTGATCTGTTCATGATGTATCCACCCCCATGACTCAAACACCTCCCAAGAGGCCCACCCTCCCACACTGGGGGGTAAATTTCAATCTGAGGTTTGAAGGGGTCAAACATCTCAACTAAAGTAGTGGTATCCTCAGCACGTTCTATGGTTACTATGAGAGCTATAACTGAGAAAGCAGGAGGAAGCTGGGTCTCCCGCCATCTGGGTGCTTGTCCTAAAGAGACGCTGTATGTGGTTACCTGTGAATCAAGAAATGCAAGACAATTCATAAAGAGGAACTGCTATGATTAGCTTCTTATTGGTGTCTCCTCTTCTTCCAGGTAACCTCAGACACCTGCACATTCTGATTGGGACCTCAGTGGTCAAAATCCCTTTCACCATCCTCCTCTTCTTTCTCCTTCATCGCTGGTGCTCCAACAAAAAAAAGTAAGTCTCACGAAGCAGAGGCCAGAGAGCTCAGGGCCATGTGGGGAAGCAGGATGGGAGCACACGGGTGTGTGTTCCTCACCAGCAGGATGGTCCCTGGCCCAAGACAGGAGCCACAGAGGCAGGACTTTCTAGAGAGAGCACCAGATTCCCTTCCCCTGCCTTCAGCTCACAGACCATTGCCTGATTCTGAACTGTATCCTCACGTCCCCTGCAGCCACTCACATCCAGGAGAAGGTTCCATGACAGGCAGAAAGTGGGAGATAGAATCAATGGAATGGGACCTCAGAGCTATTCATGGGATGGGTCCTTGAACTCAGAGAGATAGAATGTCTGAGTCTGCTGTTGGCAACTGAGGGACCTCAGGCACCTATGGCCTCCCCCTGTTTGTTGGTATCTGCTTATGAAATGAGGACCCAGAAGTGCCCTCCGAGCTCTTTTGTTGACTTCCGTCTTCTACAGATGCTGCTGTAATGGACCAAGAGCCTGCAGGGAACAGAAGTGAACAGCGAGGTAGGTGCTCCTCGGCCCAGCCTCGTGGCTAGTGTTATTCCCAAAGAGTCCTGAAAAATGTGAGCACCCTCCCTCACTCAGCATTTCCCTCTCTCCAGGATTCTGATGAACAAGACCATCAGGAGGTGTCATACGCATAATTGGAACACTGTGTTTTCACACAGAGAAAAATCACTCGCCCTTCTCAGAGGCCCAAGACACCCCCAACAGATACCAGCATGTACATAGAACTTCCAAATGCTGAGCCCAGATCCAAAGTTGTCTTCTGTCCACGAGCACCACAGTCAGGCCTTGAGGGGATCTTCTAGGGAGACAACAGCCCTGTCTCAAAACTGGGTTGCCAGCTCCCATGTACCAGCAGCTGGAATCTGAAGGCATCAGTCTTCATCTTAGGGCATCGCTCTTCCTCACACCACAAATCTGAATGTGCCTCTCACTTGCTTACAAATGTCTAAGGTCCCCACTGCCTGCTGGAGAAAAAACACACTCCTTTGCTTAGCCCACAGTTCTCCATTTCACTTGACCCCTGCCCACCTCTCCAACCTAACTGGCTTACTTCCTAGTCTACTTGAGGCTGCAATCACACTGAGGAACTCACAATTCCACACATACAAGAGGCTCCGTCTTAACGCAGCACTTAGACACGTGCTGTTCCACCTTCCCTCATGCTGTTCCACCTCCCCTCAGACTAGCTTTCAGCCTTCTGTCAGCAGTAAAACTTATATACTTTTTAAAATAACTTCAATGTAGTTTTCCATCCTTCAAATAAACATGTCTGCCCCCATGGTTTCGGTAATGGGACTCTTTTCTTGCCTAAGGCTTCCGGTGTTATCAGTACCATGTCCATATAATCCCATCTGTTCCCCACTGAGTTCTCATCCCTGGACTCTGATCTTCTGGAAGCAGGGTGGAGCCTCATTTGTCTCTGGGACTCCAATTTCCATCCAAAGATGTAGCACATAGGAGGTTCCAAGGATCGCGAATCACATGAACAAGTGATACTCTTACTCTCTGCAGACCTGGAAAGCTGGCAGAGTCATTCCACAATGAAACATTTGTAGAGTCATAGGCCTTGTTAGTCTCATCTCCATGGGGACACATATCAACACATCTTCTTTCATAATATAAATATACGGTCACTCCTCCATATCTGCGGGGTTTACAGGTGTTTATTGAACCAAGTATAAATCAAAAATATTGAGAGAAAGTATCCACAGAGTTTCAAAAAGCATAACTATGTTAAATGGACACAAATGAAGCTGTGTGTAGGCTGTATCAGGAATTATAGGTAATCTAGAGATGATTTCATGTATACAGGAGGATGTGCATAGGTTATTTGCAAATGCTGTGCCATTTCATATAAGAGGCTTGAGCATCTACAGATTTTGGTATCTGAGTGGAGATCTCAAAACCAATCACCCACGAATAGTGAAGGATGACCGTATATGACTTTTATTTCTCAAATTTAAATATAAATCATAAAAAATGTACAACTAGATAAAAACTAAGAAGTGTTTTTATAGTGTCAGTTAGATTTATTTTTTACTAGGTGTAACCCATTGGTTTAATATTATTTATTGAGAAGACATTCTATGCCACCTTAAACCACACAGCAGCCTTTGTCAACTCTAAAGGGATTGTGTGTACATGGATGTATTTTAGACACTGTTTCTGCTAAGGGGCTCTCTGTGTCCACACTCTTGATGACGCTGCACTTTATGTAGCCTTATAGAACCCTTTAAATTTAGTAGCCAGAGCCCTCTAATTTGTTATTATAGGCTATTTGCTTTTTTTTTCTTGAGGCGGAGTCTTGCTCTGTCGCCCAGGCTGGACTGCAGTGACACAATCTCAGCTCACTGCAACCTCCACCTCCCAGGTTCAAGCGATTCTCGTGCCTCAGCCTCTTGAGCAGCTGGCGTTACAGGTGCCTGCCACCAGGCACGGCTAATTTTTGGATTTTTAGCAGAGACACGGTTTCACTATGTTGACCAGGCTGCTCTCAAACTCCTTATCTCAGTTGATCCGCCCACCTCGGCTTCCCAACGTGCTGGGGAAAACTTGATTTTCTATAGCATTATGTTACTGGATATTTCTGTAAAATTTAAAACGAGGGAGGGAGAGAGACAGAGAGAGATCAAACTCCAGAGTTGGGACTCTGGAATCTTGGGTCATGAGACAAATTTTAGATTAAACTACAAAACTCCAGAATTTACAGGTGTGGTTTTTGCTGATAAAGTACAATTCTAAGATTGTAAATAATTGCATAATCCTTCCCTGGGAATTTAAATCATTTTAGCTGGTTCTGCTGTAATACTAGAAATACAAGCATGAAAAATTCTAATGGTTTATTAGTCACAATGACTCCGAAAACATTAATAATACCTATTAGATACTTTGCATATTACACAGGAAGAAGAGTTTGAATCTCAGATAAAAACAATAAAAATACATGAAAAGTCTTTCACGTTAGCACAGATTTTAGGCATCTTGTGTTCGGGAGGTTGGATCTGAGACGTGTTGTGAGTTGGTCATAGTGAAGGACGCGAGGTGCCAATTCTAGTGAGAACAATTTCCAGGAAGCCGTGTTCCGCTCTTGAGCAAGCACCCACTGGGCCTCATGCAAGGTAGAAAGAGCCTGCGTACGTCACCCTCCCGTGATGTGGTCAACATGTAAACTGCATGGGCAGGGCGCCAAATAACATCCTGTGCGCTGCTGAGCTGAGCTGGGGCGCGGCCGCCTGTCTGCACCGGCAGCACCATGTCGCTCATGGTCATCAGCATGGCGTGTGTTGGTGAGTCCTGGAAAGGAATAGAGGGAGGGAGTGCGGGGATGGAGATCTGGGCCCAGAGGTGGAGATATAGGCCTGGAGGTGGAGTTATGGGCCTGGAGTGGAGATCTGGGCCTGGAGTGGATATATGGGCCTGGAGATGGAGTGATGGGCCTAGAAGTGGAGATCTGGGTCTGGAGTGGAGATATGGGCCTGGAGGTGGAGATATGGGCCTGGAGTGGAGATCTGGGCCTGGAGTGGAGATAGGAACCCGGAGGGGAGATAGGAGCCTGGAGTGAAGATATTGGCCTGGGATGGAGATATGGGCCTGGAGTGGAGACATGGGCCTGGAGGTGGAGATATGGGCCTGGAGGTGGAGATATGGGCCTAGAGGTGGATATCTGGGCCTGGAGTGGACATATGGGCCTAGGATGGAGATATGGGCTTGGGGTGGAGATATGGGCCTGGATTGGAGATATGGGTCTAGGGTGGAAATATTGGCCTGGAGTGGAGATATGGGCCTGGAGTGGAGATATGGGCTTGGGGTGGGGATAGGGGCCTGGGGTGCGGATATGGGCCTGGAGGCTGGGTCTCTACACAGCCGACAGCCCTGTTCTTGGGTGCAAGCAGGCACTGAGGGTGAGTTTCCCTTCAGCCCAGCAAGGGCCTGGCTACCAAGACTCACAGCCCAGTGGGGGCAGCAAGGGAGTCCTGGTTTGCCTGCAGATGGATGGTCCATCATGATCTTTCTTTCCAGGGTTCTTCTTGCTGCAGGGGGCCTGGACACATGAGGGTGAGTCCTTCTCCAAACCTTCGGGTGTCATCTCCCCACATAAGAGGATTTTCCTGAAACAGGAGGGAAGCCCGGTGGGGGATTTTCTTATAAACAAGGATGAGGAGACCCTGGGGTGCTCAGCCCACAGTTCCGACCTTGCCCTCCCCAGCCTTCCTTTCCCTTGGCTGAGTCAGGTTCTGTGGGAACCCGGGAGGGTAGACTGGGGTCCTCCAAGCTGGGCTGTGCGGCTGGGATGTGGTGTCACTGGCAGAGGAAGGGAGCAAAGCAGTGCTAGGAACAGCAGGCCTCTGAGGACAAAGGTGTAACTCACACCCTCCAGCGTTTCCATGACGGTAGGGGCTGCAGTGTGGCTGCTGTCATTCTACCTCAGAGGTGGGGGAACCCCAGCCAGGGCCCTGACCTTCCAAATCCTCTGTTGGGGGCTCAGTTGTGTATTGTGGTTCACACATTGGCTGATATTCCATTCACAAAGAACATGCCCTCGACCCCATGTCTATTTGTGTTGTTTTATGTGAGTAATCTTGCAGTATTAAAATCTAGTAGGAGTCCCTTACTCAGCACTTGCTCAAAGTTCTCAGCTGACACTTTTGTTGTAGAGAGACGCCAAGTCTATGCGGGGTGGGTCCTTCCCGTAGCCATGGGCACCCAAGTGTGGTAGGAGCCTTAGAAACGAGGAAAGTGGGGAGAATCTTCTGAGCACTGGCAGGGAGGGGCGGCTCCACATCCTCCTTTCTAAGGTGGCGCCTCCTTCTCCCCCAGGTGGACAGGACAAGCCCTTGCTGTCTGCCTGGCCCAGCGCTGTGGTGCCTCGAGGAGGACATGTGACTCTTCTGTGTCGCTCTCGTCTTGGGTTTACCATCTTCAGTCTGTACAAAGAAGATGGGGTGCCTGTCCCTGAGCTCTACAACAAAATATTCTGGAAGAGCATCCTCATGGGCCCTGTGACCCCTGCACACGCAGGGACCTACAGATGTCGGGGTTCACACCCGCGCTCCCCCATTGAGTGGTCGGCACCCAGCAACCCCCTGGTGATCGTGGTCACAGGTCAGAGGACTCATGTCTGGGCTTCTCCTTCTCCCACTTCCTGAATCCCAGAGCATCTGGTGGGGGTGTCCACCAGGGTCCAATCATCCAGGCCCTGACTGTATTTGGTGTCAATGGGGATTGAATACAGGGGAATGGGTGCTGTGGTGGAAAGAGTAACTGTCGGCAGCATGGCTATATTGTAATCCTTGGAGCCTGTGACTATTTATGTTATAGGACATGGGACTGAAGGGGAAGATGGAGTTCAGGTTGTTGATGAGTTGACCTTGAGATGGGGAGACGACCTGGACTCTCCCACTGGGCTCAGTGTAATCACAAGGGTCCACATGAGAGGAGGAGGAAGAGGAGAGTGGGGATTAGAGCAGCGTAGTGGGAGGGAGAGTCCACCAGCCACTGCGGGCTTTGAAAGTGGAGGAAGGCCAGAAGCCACGGAATGCAGGTGGCCTTTAGGGGCTGGAGAAGTCAATGGAACTGATTCTCCCGAGTCTCCAGAGGGAATGCAGCCCTGCAGATGCCTTGATTGTAGCCCAGGAAGAACAGGGTCTGATTTCTGTCAACAGAAGTGTTCTCTCCCGCCGCCGTGTTTGTGATAATTTTCTGCAGCAACAACAGGAAACAACACAGGAATCCAGGTCAAGGACAAGTTAAAAAACCAAACAAGAGGGTTGGCTACCCTAAGGTCAGCAAGGGTGCACTGCTGATGCCACCACCAGGCTGGAGCTGCATAGGGAGGGATCCACAGGGAGAGTCGGGGGTGGAGGGTGAGAGAGAGAGAGAGCATTAGGTCATAGAGCAGGGGAGTGAGTTCTCAGCTCAGGTGTGAGGGGAGCTGTGACAAGGAAGAACCTCCCTGAGGAAACTGCCTCTTCTTCCAGGTCTATTTGGGAAACCTTCACTCTCAGCCCAGCCGGGCCCCACGGTTCGCACAGGAGAGAACGTGACCTTGTCCTGCAGCTCCAGGAGCTCATTTGACATGTACCATCTATCCAGGGAGGGGAGGGCCCATGAACCTAGGCTCCCTGCAGTGCCCAGCGTCGATGGAACATTCCAGGCTGACTTTCCTCTGGGCCCTGCCACCCACGGAGGGACCTACACATGCTTCAGCTCTCTCCATGACTCACCCTATGAGTGGTCAGACCCGAGTGACCCACTGCTTGTTTCTGTCACAGGTGAGGAAAGCCCATGCCTGTCCCATGTCCTGTGATCCTAGAGCCTTAGCTGAGGAGCTTCCTGCTGATGATGGAGAGAAGCATGGACAGATGCAGAGAGAACACGCAGCATGGTGTGAGGGAGGGATCAGGGCACAGGATGGCAGACAGGGCACCTCCAAACCCTCCTGCACGGCCTGCATGGAGGCCCGCGGCCAGGGCTCCAGGCACCCAGGCAGATGGAGAAAGTGGTCAGGACAGACCCAGAGGAGGGAGACTCGGCTCAGTTTGGGGAGATCAGAGGCTCCTCAGACCCTCAACCTTACCCATTTCCCAGAAGCCCATACTGGCCTCTCACCCACACAGAGATGTCATCACCAGCAACCCCTACACCCTTTTCTTTCCGTTTGAAAAAACATTTATTGAGGTTAAATGTAACTATATAATTTGCCACCTTTACCATTTTTAAAAGTAAAATCTAGTGGTCATAAATTCCTTTATATGCAGGGTGCAGTGGCTCACAGTTATAATCTCGGTGCTTTGAGAGGCCAAGGAAGGTGGATCATTTAAGATCAGAGGCTCGAGATCAGCCTGGCCAACATGAGGGAAATTCATCTTTACTAAACAGACAAGAAAAATTGGCTGGGCATGCTGGCATGCACCTGTATTCCTAGCTACATGGGAGGCTGAGGCAGGAGAAGTACGTAAGCCCAGGAGGCAGAGGTTGCACTGAGCTGAGATCAGGCCACTGCACTGCAGCCTGGGAGACAGAGAGAGATTCTGTCTCTAAATAAATAAATACATCTATATTCTTTTTTATTGTTGTTGTTACACTCCACCCTTTACTTCCTGCCCTCTGGTAGCCACCATTCTACTCTCTACCTTCATGAGATCCACCTTTTAGCTCCTGTATATGGGTGAGAAATGGGAATCTTTGCAATGACCTCCAGTTCCATCCATGTGGCTGCAAATGTCAGGATGTTATTCTTTCTACGGATGAGTACTCTCCACTGTGTGTGTGTACTACATTCTCTCTATCCATTCACCCACTGACGGGCAGGTAAGTTGACTCCACATCTTGGCTACTGTGAACAGTGCTGCACCAATCGTATGAGTGCAGATATCACTTCGATACACTGATGTCCTTCCCTTTGGGTTTACACCCAGTAGTGGAATTGCTAGATCCTATCAACAGGGTACCAGGGTTCTCCTTTCTCTACCACCTTGCCAGCATTCATTTTGTCTGTGTTTCAGATAAAAGCCACTTTAATGGGATGAGATGATAGCTCACTGTGATTTCAATTGGCATGATTAGTGATACTGAGCACTTTTTCATGTACATGTTCGCCATTTGTACGTTTTGTTTGTTGAGAAATGTCTGTTCAGGTCTTTTACTAATTGTTAAATTAAATTCATTGTTTTATACCGTTGCTTGAGTTTTATGTATATTCTAGTTATTAATCCCCTCTCAGATGCATACTTCACAAATATTTTCTCCCAATTTGTCTCTTCTTCACTTTGTTGGTTGCTTCCTTTGCGGTGCAGAAGCTGCTTACTTTGATGTAATCCCGAAGGTCTATTATTTTGTTTTGATTTCTTGTGTTTTTGAGATTTCAAATAAAATGTCTTTCCTCAGACAAATGTCCTGGAGCATTTCCCCACTCTTTCCTTTTAGACGCTTAATGGTTTCAGGCCTTAAGTGTTTCTTCCATTTTCATTTGATTTCTGTGTATGGTGAGAGGTAGAGGTGCAGTTTCATCAACTGCATGTAGATACCAGTTTTCCCTGCTCCATTTATTGAAAAGACCGTCGTTTCCTGATTGCAGGTTCTTGGCACCTACAATCGTCAAAGTCCATTGGATGTGAATGCATGAATTATATCTGTGTTCTTCATTCTGCTCCATTGCTCTAAGGGCCTTTATGCCAATGTCATGCTGTTGTGCTTACTACAGCTTTGTAACATATTTTTAAGTCAGGGAGTGTGAGGCCTCCAGCACCTGTTTTGTCTTTATACCTCGAAATCTCAGGACACTGGGCATCATTTAACAATGATGATGGAGAAGGGGACGCCAGGACTCCTAGGGCCCAACATTAGATAACAGAGTGTTGGCCATGAACCAACCTCAAAGATTTCCTTTGAGTAGAAGACAGGCATCCTCATTTCCTCACCTCTCTCCTGTCCTGTGTTCTAGGAAACTCTTCAAGTAGTTCATCTTCACCCACTGAACCAAGCTCCAAAACTGGTGAGTAAAGATCCCTCTTATCTCTGCTTTTGGAAACCTGGGGAGGTTGGTATCTTGGATTCAAGCATTGGCTCAGCACCTCCCAGCTCTGTGATTGTGGGCCTGTCTTCTAACATCTCTGACCCCCAGACACTACAACAGCGAAGGGTATCTGAGGACAGCAAAGGGCTCAGTGAAGTCTCTTCATTTCAAATTTCTGCAGCTGAGACCTCCTCCAAGCTAGACGGACGAGTACAAATCTGACATCCTTCTCAGGGATAATGTGGTGTTTTTTCTGCCTGCATTCCAAATTGGAGGATAAATTCGAGGGGACTTGAGAGAGGGAGGGGAAGGGAACATCTGATGAGGGAAAGGTGATTTAGAGAAGTTCCACTTGCCAAGGAATGAGCCCCTGTTGGTCATGATGCGACCTTGGCTGAGTCAGCAGAGCAAGAGCCTTGCAGTAAGAAGGAACGTAGTTCATCCACGAATATGACACTTCCACTCACTCACTTATTCAGCCACTGCCCTGTGCTCTGACTGTACAGTGTGGAACCCTTTCCTGCTGTTGCCATAATAAATCTCCACAAACTTCATGGATGACAACAACACAGCTTTTAAAATTATCTTACAGTGTTATAGCTCAGAAATATGAAATGCATTTCACTGGGCTAAAATCAAGGTGACTGCGAGGCTGCCTTTTCTCTGAAGGTTCCAGGCGAGAATCGGCTTTTCACATTTCCCAGCTCCCAGAGGTTCCCACGTTCCTTGGCATCTGGTCCCCATCCTCCTTCCTCGAAGTCCACAAAAGCTCGTCACATCTCTCACGTGGCATCACTCAGATCCCTCTTCCTTACCTCACCTCTTTCTCTAAGTGTTGCTCTGACTTTTTCTTCCTCTTTTAAAGACTTTGGGATTCTATTGAGTTTACCAAGATAATCCATCACAATCTCCCTAAAATCACCCAAGATAACCTCTTTTTAAGTTCAGCTGATTAGCAACCATAATTCCATCTGCAATCTTTATTCCTCCTTTCATGTAAAATAACATATTCACAAGCTATGGAGGCTAGGACAGGGACATTTTGGGGGTGGGCCAGCATTCTCCTGCCTTCCACAAATGGTAAACACGATGCATTTGGCCTCTGCTCTTAGGACACTGACATTGCAGATGGGCAAATGGGAGGGCAGAATATGAATGCACAAGTGGACCAGTAATGATTGATCCATTGGGAAGCATCCGTGCATGAAATCTATTTACCTATTTATTTATCTATTTATCTATTTATGTATTTATTTATTTGCGGCGAAGTCATTCTCTGTCCCCGGGCTGGAGTGCAGTGGCATGACCTCAGCTCACCACAACCTCCGCCTCCCGGGTTCAGGCGATTCTCCTGCCTCAGCCTCCTGACTAGTTGTGATTCCAGTCCCCTCCACCACACCCAGCTAATTTTCTTTTATATTTTTTAGTAGAGATGGAGTTTCACCATGTTGCGCAGATTGTCTCCAACTCCCAACCTCAAGTGATCCGACCGTCTCAGCATCCCAAAATGCTGGGACTCAAGGCGTGAGCCACTGCGCCCAGCCGAAATTTAAAATAAATAATAAAGAATTCTAAGTGTATAATTTCAGGAGACAGAGAAAGTCTCACTAATCAGATAATATTTGTGACCATAATGAAAAAAAAAAGTAGATTCAACCCCTGGAAGATGGGCGGAAGGATTTTCCACACACAGCTGTCAGCCGTGAAGGCACAAATGTGAAAACAATCTGATGTGGAAGGAAGAGGCTCTGCATTCAAATGCTGGGAATGACGTGGGGAGAATGACAAGATGACTGTAGGGAGACGGAGAGCACACTGGGTACACAGGAAACTAAGGAGCAACAAGGAGCGTGTGTTTGACACTCACAGCCATTGGATTCACCTCGGGGTAACCAGGAATCCCTACATGATTAATATGACTGACATGAAAATAAGGGACGCCCAAGTGCGTAACTGGAATCTAGGAGACCGTGGAAAAGGCAATTCCCGCCCCACTGGTGAAATGTGGTGCTGATTTAGACACTAAATGAATGAAGTAGATGGGTATAAGATATGTCTGTGAGGTAGAATCATTTGTAGGGAGGTCTTGCTGGATTTGATAATGCCTACTTATTTAATTTTGAATATATTAATTTCTTTCTGAGATTTATTTTTCCTACATGTAAATCAATATCTGGCAGAGGAGTGATAGATAGATGAGGGGTGGTGCAAATGAAGGGACTTATTATAGCATAATATACAAGTCTGTGAATGGGAGCTTACGCCTGTAACCCAACACTTTGGGAGGCCAAGGCGTTTGGATCACTTGAGGTCAGGAGTTTGAGACCAGCCTGGCCAACATGGAGAAACCCCATGCTCTTTTTAGCAACCAGTCCTAGGGACCTCATGGAGAACTTGCCAACCACGTCTCATGGGGACAGCATTAATGTATTCATGATGGATCCACCCCCATAACTGGAACGTCTCTCAATAGGCCCAGCCTCCCACACTGCGAGATAAGTGTCAACGTGAGGTTTGGCGGGGTCAAACATTCAAACTATAGCAGTGGTATCCCCAGCATGTTCTCTGATTATTTTGAGAACTATAACTGAGAAAGCAGGAGAAAGCTGGGTATCCTGCCATCGGGGAACTTGTCCTAAACAGATGTTGTATGTGCTTAGCTGGCAACCAAGAAATGAGAGACAATCCATAAAGAGGAACTGCTATAATTAGCTTCTTATTGGATTCCCACCTTCCCCCAGGTATCCGCAGACACCTGCACATTCTGATTGGGACCTCAGTGGCTATCATCCTCTTCATCATCCTCTTCTTCTTTCTCCTTCATTGCTGCTGCTCCAACAAAAAGAGTAAGTCTCACGAAGCAGAGGTCAGAGAGCTCAGGACCATGTGGGGAAGCAGGATGGGAGCACACTGGTGTGTGTTCCTGACTGGCAGGATGGTCCCTGGACCAAGGCAGGAGCCACAGAGGCAGGGCTTTCTAGAGAGAGCACCAGACACCCTGCCCCTGCCTTCAGCTCACAGACCATTGCCTGATTCTGAACTGTATCCTCACGTCCCCTGCAGCCACTGACATCCAGGAGAAGGTTCCATGACAGGCAGAAAGGGGAGACAGAATCACTGGGATGGGAACTCAGAGCTATTCATGGGATGGGTCCTTGAGCTCAGAGAGATAGAATGTCTGGGTCTGGCTGATGACAGCTGAGGGACCTCAGGCACCTACGGCCTCCCGCTGTGTGTTGGTGTCTGCTCATGAAATGAGGACCCAAAAGTGCCCTTCCAGCTGTTTTGATGACTTCTATCTCCTACAGATGCTGCTGTAATGGACCAAGAGCCTGCCGGGGACAGAACAGTGAACAGGGAGGTAGGTTCTCCTCAGCCCAGCCTCATGGATTGAGTCTCATTCCCTAATAGTCTTGAAGAATGTGAGCACCCTCCCTCACTCAGCATTTCCCTCTCTCCAGGACTCTGATGATCAAGACCCTCAGGAGGTGACATATGCACAGTTGGATCACTGCGTTTTCACACAGACAAAAATCACTTCCCCTTCTCAGAGGCCCAAGACACCTCCAACAGATACCACCATGTACATGGAACTTCCAAATGCTAAGCCAAGATCATTGTCTCCTGCCCATAAGCACCACAGTCAGGCCTTGAGGGGATCTTCTAGGGAGACAACAGCCCTGTCTCAAAACCGGGTTGCTAGCTCCCATGTACCAGCAGCTGGAATCTGAAGGCATCAGTCTTCATCTTAGGGGATCGCTCTTCCTCACACCACAAATCTGAACATGCCTCTCTCTTGCTTACAAATGTCTAAGGTCCCCACTGCCTGCTGGAGAGAAGACACACACCTTTGCTTAGCCCACAATTCTCTATTTCACTTGACCCCTGCCCACCTCTCCAACTGAACTGGCTTACTTCCTAGTCTACTTGAGGCTGCAATCACACTGAGGAACTCACAATTCCAGACATACAAGAGGCTCCCTCTTAACATGGCACTGAGACACGTGCTGTTCCACCTTCCCTCATGCTGTTTCACCTTTCCTCAGACTATTTTCCAGCCTTCTGTCAGTCAGCAGTGAAACTTATAAAATTTTTTGTGATTTCAATGTAGCTGTCTCCTTTTCAAATAAACATGTCTGCCCTCATTGCTTTAGGTAATGTGACACTATTCGCTGAAAGAAACCGCTGTTATCATTACCATGTCCACATAACCCCATCTGTTATCCACTGGGTTCTCTCCCCTGGACTCTGAGCTTCTGGAAGCAGGGTGGAGCCTCATTTGTCTCTGGGACTCCAATTTCCATCCAAAGATGCAGCACATAGGAGGTTCCAAGGATCATGAATCACATGAACAAGTGATATTCTTACTCTCTGCAGACCTGGAAAGCTGGCAGAGTCATTCCACGATGAAACATTTGTAGAGTCATAGGCCTTGTTAGTCTCATCTCCATGGGGACACATATCAACACATCATCTTTCATGCTATATATATATATACAGTCGCTCCTCCGTATCTGTGGGGTTTACAGGTGTTTATTGAACCAACTATAAATAAAAAATATTCAGAGAAGAAAATCCACAAACTTTCAAAAAGCAAAACTATGTTGAAGGGACACAAATGAAGCAGTGTGTAGGCCATATCAGGAATTATAAGTAATCTAGAGATGATTTCATGTACACAGGAGGATGTGCATGGGTTATATGCAAATGCTGTGCCATTTCATGTAAGAGGCTTGAGCATCTGCAGATTTTGGTATCTGAGTGGAGATCCTGAAACCAATCACCCAGGAATAGTGAAGGATGACCGTATAAAACTGTTATTTCTCAATTTTAAATATAAATCATAAAAAAATTATAAACTAGATAAAAACAAGAAGTGTTTTTATAGTGTGAGAATAAGTTTAGATTTATTTTTTCCTACGTGTAACCCTTTGGTTTAATATTATTTATTGAGAAGACATTCTATGCCACCTTAAACCACAGGGCAGCCTTTGTCAACTCTAAAGGGACTGTGTGTACACGGATGTATTTTAGACACTGTTTCTGCTAAGGGGCTCTCTGTGTCCACACTCTTGAGGATGCTGCACTTCATGTAGCCTTATAGAACCCTTTAAATTTAGTAGCCAGAGCCCTCTAATTTGTTATTATAGGCTACTTGCTATTTTTTTTTTCTTAAGGCGGAATCTTGCTCTGTCACCCAGGCTGGACTGTAGTAGTGCAATCTCAGCTCACTGCAAACTCCGCCTCCCAGGTTCAAGCGATTCTCGTGCCTCAGCCTCTTGAGTAGCTGGCATTACAGGTGTCTGCCACCAGGCACGGCTAATTTTTGAATGTTTAGCAGAGACACGGTTTCACTATGTTGGCCAGGCTGCTCTCAAACTCCTCATCTCAGTTGATTCGCCCACCGCGGCTTCCCAACATGCTGGGGGAAACTTGATTTTCTATAGCATTATGTTACTGGATATTTCTGTAAAATTTAAAATGAGGGAGGGACAGAGACAGAGAGAGAGCAAACTCCAGAGTTGGGACTCTGGAATCTTGGGTCATGAGACAAATTATAGATAAAACTATAAAAATCCAGAATTTACATGTGTGGTTTTTGCTGATAAAGTACAATTCGAAGATTGTAAATAATTGCATAATCCTTCCCTGGGAATTTAAATCATTTTAACTGGTTCTGCTGTAATACTAGAAATACAAGCATGAAAAATTCTAATGGTTTATTAGTCACAATGACTCTGAAAACATTAATAATACCTATTAGATATTTTGCATATTACACATGAAGAAGAGTTTGAATCTCAGATAAAAACAATAAAAATACATGAAAAGTTTTTCACGTTAGCACAGATTTTAGGCATCCTGTGTTCCGGAGGTTGGATCTGAGACGTGTTTTGAGTTGGTCATAGTGAAGGACGCTAGGTGTCAATTCTAGTGAGAACAATTTCCAGGAAGCCGTGTTCTGCTCTTGAGCGAGCACCCACTGGGCCTCATGAAAGGTAGAAAGAGCCTGCGTACGTCACCCTCCCATGATGTGGTCAACATGTAAACTGCATGGGCAGGGAGCCAAATAACATCCTGTGCGCTGCTGAGCTGAGCTAGGGGTGCGGCCGCCTGTCTGCTCCGGCACCACCATGTCGCTCATGGTCATCAGCATGGCATGTGTTGGTGAGTCCTGGAAGGGAATAGAGGGAGGGAGCGCGGGGATGGAGATCTGGGCCCAGAGGTGGAGATATAGGCCTGGAGGTGGAGTTATGGGCCTGGAGTGGAGATATGGGCCTGGAGGTGGAGATATGGACCTGGAGTGGAGATATGAGCCTGGAGTGGAGATATGGGCCTAGAGTGGAGATATGGGCCTGGAGGTGGAGATCTGGGCCTGGAGTGGAGATCTGGGCCTGGATTGGAGATATGGGCCTGGAGTGGAGATATGAGCCTGGAGTGGAGATATGGCCCTGGAGTGGAGATAGGGGCCTGGAGTGCAGATATGGGCCTGGAGTGGAGATGTGGGTCTGGAGTGCAGATATGGGCCTGGAGGTGGACATAAGGGCCTGGAGTGGAGATATGGGCCTAGAGTGGAGATATGAGCCTGGAGATGGAGATATGGGCCTGGAGTGGAGATATGGGCCTGGAGGTTGGAGATATGGGCCTGGAGTGGAGATATGGGCCTGGAGCGGAGATATGGGCGTGGGGTGGAGATATGGGCCTTGAGTGGAGATATGGGACTGAAGTGGAGATATGGGTGTGGGGTGGAGATATGGGACTGGAGTGCAGATATGGGCATGGGGTGGAGATATGGGACTGGAGTGGAGATATGGGCGTGGAGTGGAGATATGGGACTGGAGTGGAGATATGGGCGTGGGGTGGAGATATGGGCCTGGAGTGGAGATATGGGCGTGTGGTGAAGATATGGGCCTGGAGTGGAGATATGGGCCTGGAATGGAGATATGGGCGTGGGGTGGAGATATGGGACTGGAGTGGAGATATGGGCCTGTTGTGGAGATATGGGCTTGGAGTGGAGATATGATCCTGGAATGTAGTTATGGGCCTGGAGGTGGAGATCTGGGCCCGGGGTGGAGATATGGGCCTGGAGTGGAGATATGGGCCTGGAGAGGAGATATGGGCCTGGAGTGGAGATATGGGCCTGGACTGGAGTTATGGGCCTGGGGTGGAGATCTGAGCCTGGATTGCAGATGTGGGCCCAGATTGGCTATATGGGCCTAGGGTGGGAATATCAGCCTGGAGTGGAGATATGTGCCTGGAGTGGAGATATGGGCTTGGGGTGGGGATATGGGCCTGGAGGCTGGGTCTCTGCACAGCCGAGAGCCCTGTTCTTGGGTGCAGGTAGGCACTGAGGGTGAGTTTCCCTTCGGCCCAGGAAGGGCCTGGCTACCAAGACTCACAGCCTAGTGGGGATAGCAAGGGAGGCCTGGTTTGCCTGCAGATGGATGGTCCATCATGGTCTTTCTTTCCAGGGTTCTTCTGGCTGCAGGGGGCCTGGCCACATGAGGGTAAGTCCTTCTCCAAACCTTAAGGTGTCATCTCCCCACATAAGAGGATTTTCCTGAAACGGGAGGGAAGTCCTGTCGGGGAGTCTCTCTTAAACTAGAAAGAGGGGACCCTGGGGTGCTTGGCCCACAGTTCCGACCTCGCCTCCCCAGCCTTTCATTTCCTTGGCAGAGTCAAGTTCTGTGGGGACCAGGGTTACACTAGGGTGCTCAAAGCTGGGTTGTGTGGTGGGGAAGTGGTAGGAACAGCAGATCCTCTGAGGACAAAGGTGTTACTCACACACTTCAGCGTTTCCATGATGGTAGGGGCTGCAGTGTGGCTGCTCTCATTCTACCAGAAGAGGTGGGAAACCACAGCCATGGCCCTGACATTCCAAATCCTCTGATGGGGGCTCAGTTGTTTATTTTCATTCAGGCATCTGCTGATATTCCATTCTCAAAGGACATGCCCTCCACCCCATGTCTACCCTGTGTTGTTTTATGTGAGTAATCTTACAGTATTAAAATCTAGTAGGAGTCTCTTACTCAGCACTTGCTCAAAGTTCTCAGCTGACATTTTTGTTGTAGGGAGACACCTTGTCTTTGTGGGATGAGTCCTTCCTTTAGCCCTAGGCACCAAGGTGTGATAGCAGCCATAGAAATGTGGAAAGTGGGGAGAATCTTCTGAGCACAGGGAGGGAGGGGCGGCTGCACATCCTCCTCTCTAAGGTGGCGCCTCCTTCTCCCCAAGGTGGTCAGGACAAGCCCTTGCTTTCTACCTGGCCCAGCCTTGTGGTGCCTCCAGAACATGTGACTCTTCGGTGTCACTCTAATCTTGGGTTTAACAACTTCAGTCTGTACAAGGATGATGGGGTGCCTGTCCCTGAACACTACAACAGAATATTCTGGAAAAGCCTTTTCATGGGCCCTGTGACCCCGTCACACACAGGGACCTATAGATGCCGGGGTTCACACCCACACTCCCCCAGTGGGTGGTCGGCACCCAGCAACCCCCTGCTGATCATGGTCACAGGTCAGAGGGCTCCTGTCTGGGATTCTCCTTGTCCCACCTCCTGAATCCCAGAGCTTCCGGTAGGCATGTCCTTGAGGGTCCCTTCACGCAGGCCCTGACTGTATTTGGGGTAAAGGGGGATTGAATACAGGGAAATGGGTACTGTGGTGAGAAGAATAATTGTCCCCAGTGATGACTACATTCTAATCCCTGGAGTCTGTGACTATTTATGTTATAGGGGAAGGGACTGAAGGGGAAGATGGAGCTCAGGTTGTTGATGAGTTGACCTTGAGATGGGAGAAGGCCTGGACTGTCCCCCTGGGCTCAGTGTAGTCACAAGGGTCCACATGAAAGGAGGAGGAAGAGGAGAGTGGGGATTAGAGCAGCATAATGGGAGTCTCCATCAGCTTTGAAGGTGGAGGAAGGCCAGGAGCCATGAATGCAGGTGGCCTATAGAGGCTGGAAAAGTCAAGGAACTGATTCTCCTGAGTCTCCAGAGGGAACGAAGCCCTGCAGGTGCCTTGATTTTAGCCCAGGAAAAACAGGGCCCGACTTCTGCCTCCAAAAATGGAAGGGGTCAGTGTGCTCTCTCCTGCTGCCATGCTGCTGATAATTTTCTACAGCAGCAACAGGAAACCAACACCGGAACCCAGCTCGAGGAAAAGTTAAGAAAGGACACAAGGATAGCCGGGCGTGGTGGCAGGTGCATGTAATCCTAGCGACTTGGGAGGCTGAGGGCAGGAGAATCACTTGAACCCAGGAGACAGAGGTTGCAGTGAGCCTAGACCACACCACTTCACTCCAGCCTGGGCAAAGGAGTGAGACTCTGTCTCCAAAATTAATTAATTAAAGAAACCAAACAAGGAGAAGGTTGGCTACACCAAGATCAGCAAGTGTGGGATTATGATGCCACCACCAGGCTCCATCCACATAGGGAGCGGTTGATACTCCTCCAACCAGCACCAGGAGCCAGGCTATGGAAGCTGGTACAGGCATGGCAAGAGTGGCTCCCAGTCCCCACCAGGAAAAGGGTGTGTGGACACTGGTGCCTGCCTTACTGTTCAGTTCATACCTCCTGCCAAGGATTCCAATTCGTCCAAAAGAGATTGAACCAGGCTGCTAAGAGCCTGGATGTGCAGCCTATCCTGGTTCCTCTTCCACCCCCACATAGACAGCAGGAAAGACATTAGTTCAAAATAGATACAACAGCCGAAGAGATGAGGCTGAGCCCAGCGGCAAGGCAATCAGAGGTTACTAGAGACAGAGGGACAGAGAAGAGGGAGGGAGACAGATGGAAGGACCTGCACCAGGAGTTATGGGCACAGAAAAGAACATGAAGACACAGAGAGGAAGGAGAGAGACAGACACCAGGGAGGGGAAGCCTCACTCAATCCAGGTGCCATGGATGGGATGATAAAGAGAGACACCTTCTAAATTCACAAACTCTCTTCCTAGGATTCCGCAGAAAACCTTCCCTCCTGGCCCACCCAGGTCGCCTGGTGAAATCAGAAGAGACAGTCATCCTGCAATGTTGGTCAGATGTCATGTTTGAGCACTTCCTTCTGCACAGAGAGGGGACGTTTAACGACACTTTGCGCCTCATTGGAGAGCACATTGATGGGGTCTCCAAGGCCAACTTCTCCATCGGTCGCATGAGGCAAGACCTGGCAGGGACCTACAGATGCTACGGTTCTGTTCCTCACTCCCCCTATCAGTTTTCAGCTCCCAGTGACCCTCTGGACATCGTGATCACAGGTGAGAGTGTCCAGACATTCTTCTCATTGTCATTCGGACACAGAGTGAATGATCCAGGACTTGGAGGCCCAGGTGGTTGTAAGGAAGATGAGCTTGGTATTCTTATGGAGAGAGACTGACTTGGTGAGGTCTGTACCAACAGAGACAGAGAAACAGGAGACACAAGTACAGACCAGGTGTCATAACAGAGGACAGACACAGGGGCCATTCCGAGAGTTAGAAAAGACAGAAGGAGTTAAAGGAGACAGACAGACAGACATGTCCCAGAGAGAGGTGTCCCTCCATGCTGACTTTGCTCAGAGACCTGGCACAGATTACAAGTTTCATTTCTGTTTTACCTCCACAAAGTGTTCTCTACCAGGAGAACCCAAGGACACCCATATTTCTGACCTGAGTTGGGCCCTGTGGCCTCAGGCCTTCTGGCACCTACAGATGCCGTGTTTATTCTGACACCTCTGCCTTCCAAGTAATGGAGAGTAATCGTCCCAGGATATCATGGCCCCAGAACACCAACCCCTGTATGCTGTGTGAACTTGTAGTCTCCAGACTGGATTCTGAGGCTCACATTCCAAATAACCCCACATATGAAAGGATCACTGAGAGGCACAGAGAAAAATCAGGAACACCAAAAAGCAAAGACATAAACACACAGAGAATGGGCCAGAGGAAGGAGATTGAGAGACTCACAGACACATAAAGAGAGAGAAAAGAGGGCAGAGGAGTGGTGAGAATGATGGAAGGGAGCAGAGAAAAGCACTAAAATTAGAGTCCTGAGGGAGAGGCACAAGGACATAGAAAGATGGAGATGTGGGGATGAATTGCAGAGATTCCAAAGAGAACTAGAGAGACCGAGAGGCAGAGCAAGACAGATGATAGATGGATAGATATAGATAGATGATAAATAGGTAGATGATAGATACTAGGTTATAGATACATAGATGATGATTGATTGATTCATTAATAGATGAGACGTAGAGATGATGATGAAGACAGATAGATAATACATAGAGATAGAGAGGCAGACAGAAGTCATAGAGAGAGAGATGATACATAGATATAGATAACAGATGATTGATGGATAGATAGACAAGTGATAGATACATAGATGATATATAGATATAGATGACAAGTAGAGAATTTGTAGATAGGCACCGAATAGATAAATAGATAGATCAACAGATAATAGATAGAAATATGCAGAAAGTTATGAACAGGACACAAAGTGAGAAACTTAGAATTTAAAAAAGTAACATCAAGTCAACCAATCCAAGGAGAGTCAGAGAGAATAAAACAAT
This sequence comes from Homo sapiens, assembly GCF_000001405.40. Classification (NCBI taxonomy): domain Eukaryota; kingdom Metazoa; phylum Chordata; class Mammalia; order Primates; family Hominidae; genus Homo; species Homo sapiens. Next base: position 181,941 of record NW_016107310.1, read on the forward strand.
CCAAAAACGGAAAACATATCTAGAGGTGGGGAAGCGAGGTCAGAGACCTAGAGAGACAGAGAAGGTGGAAGGAGGAAATAGACATGAAGAGAGATGGGGTGGAGGGTGAGAGAGAGAGAGAGAGAGCATTAGGTCATAGAGCAGGGGAGTGAGTTCTCAGCTCAGGTGAAGGGAGCTGTGACAAGGAAGATCCTCCATAAGGAAAATGCCTCTTCTCCTTCCAGGTCTATATGAGAAACCTTCTCTCTCAGCCCAGCCGGGCCCCACGGTTCTGGCAGGAGAGAGCGTGACCTTGTCCTGCAGCTCCTGGAGCTCCTATGACATGTACCATCTATCCACGGAGGGGGAGGCCCATGAACGTAGGTTCTCTGCAGGGCCCAAGGTCAACGGAACATTCCAGGCCGACTTTCCTCTGGGCCCTGCCACCCAAGGAGGAACCTACAGATGCTTCGGCTCTTTCCATGACTCTCCCTACGAGTGGTCAAAGTCAAGTGACCCACTGCTTGTTTCTGTCACAGGTGAGGAAAGCCCATGGCTGTCCCATGTCCTATGATCCTAGAGCCTTAGCTGAGGAGCTTCCTGCTGAGGATGGAGAGAAGCATGGACAGATGCAGAGAGAAGATGCATCCTCGGTGTGAGGGAGGGATCAGGGCACAGGATGGCCGACAGGGCACCTCCAAACCCTCCTACATGGCCTGCATGGAGGCCCGCAGCCAGGGCTCCAGGCACCCAGGCAGATGGAGAAAGCGGTCAGGAGAGACCCAGAGGAGGGAGACTGGGCTCAGTTTGGGGAGATCAGAGGTTCCCTCAGCCCCTCAACCTTACCCATTTCCCAGAAGCCCATCCTGGCCTCTCACCCACACAGAGATGTCATCACCAGCAACCCCTACACCCTTTACTTTTGTTTGAAGAAATATTTATTGAGGATAAATATACCTATATAGCTTACCACCTTTAACATTTTTTTTTTTTTGAGGCAGAGTCTAGCTCTGTCCCCTATGCTGGAGTGCAGTGGCACAATCTCAGCTCACTGCAACTTCCGCCTCCTGGGTTCAAGCGATTCTCCTGCCTCAGCCACCTGAGTAGCTGGTGCTACAGGTGCGCACCACCACGCCAGGCTACTTTTTGTATTTTTAGTAGAGAGGTGGTTTCACCATGTTGGTCGAGCTGGTCTGCAACTCCTGACCACGTGATCCACCCGCATCTGCCTCCCAAAGTGCTGGGATTACAGGCATGAGCCACCACGCCCAGCCACATTTACCATTTTTAAGTGTAAAGTCTAGTGGTCATAAATACATTTATATATATATATATATATACATTTTTTTTACCCTCCACCCTTTTCTTCCTGCCCTCCAGTAGCCACCATTCTACTCTCTACCTTCATGAGATCCACCTTTTAGCTCCTGTATATGGGTGAGAAATGGGAATCTTTGTAATGACCTCCAGTTCCATCCATGTGGCTGCAAATGACAGGATGTTATTCTTTCTATGGATGAGTAGTCTCCACTGTGCGTATGTACTACATTCTCTCTATCCATTCACCCACTGATGGGCAGGTAGGTTGACTCCTCATCTTGGCTACTGTGAACAGTGCTGCACCAATCATACGAGTGCAGATATCACTTCGATATATTGATTTACTTTCCTTTGGATATAAACCCAGTAGTGAAATTGCTGGATACTATGAAAGTTCTCTTTTTTTTTTTTTTCTTTTTTGAGAAAGAGTTTCCCTCCTTAGCCCAAGCTGGAGTCAAAGTGGTGCGACCTTGGCTCATTGCAACCTCCGCCTCCTGGGTTCCAATGATTTTCCTGCCTCAGCCTCCCTAGTAGCTGGGATTACAGGTGCACGCCACCATGCCTGGCTACTTTTTGGTTTTTTTAGTATAGATGCGGTTTCCCCATGTTGGCTGGGCTGCTCTCAAACTCATGACCTCAACTGAGGTGCCCGCCTCAGTCTCCCAAAGTGCCGGGATTACAGGCCTGATCCACCACACCCAACCTCTTTTTAGTTCTTTAAAGGACTTCCATACTTTTCTCCGTAATCGCTGTACTAATTTACACTCCTCCCAACAGGGTACCAGGGTTCTCCTTTCTCTAGCACTTTGCCAGCATTTCTTTTGCCTGTCTTGCAGCTAAAAGCCATTTTATTTATTTCATTTTATTTTGAGATGGAGTTTTGCTCTTCTCACCCAGGCTGGAGTGCAGTGGCGCTATCTCGGCTCACCACAACCTCCACCTCCCAGGTTCAAGCGATTCTCCTGCCTCAGCCTCCCGAGTAGCTGGAATTACAGGCACACGCCACCACGCCCGACTAATTTTTGTATTTTTAGTAGAGACAGCGTTTCTCTATGTGGGTCATACTGGTCTCAAACTCCCGACCTTATGAGATTCACCCACCTCAGGCTCTCAAAGTTCTAGGATGACAGACGTGAGCCACCTCACCCGGCCTAAAATCCATTTTAATGGGGTGAGATGAAAACTCACTTTGATTTTAATTTGCATTTCTCTGATGATGAGTGATACTGAGCACTTTTTCATATGTGGGGAAATTTCATGTCTTTTGCTCCTTTTTCAATTAAATCATTTGTTTTATTGAGTTGTTTGAGCTTCTTATATTTCTAGTTATTAATCCCATCTCAGATGCATAGTTTGCACATATTTGCTCCCAATCTGTGGGTTGTCTCTTCACTTTGTTGGTTTATTTTTAGCAGTGCAGAAGTTGCTTAGTTTGAGGTAATCCCAATGGTCTATTTTTGCTTCGATTACTTGTGTTTTCAAGGTTTAAAACAAAATGTCTTCCTTCAGACAAACGTCCTGGAGCATTTCCCCAATATTTCTTCTACGTGTTTCATAGGTTCAGGCCTTAGACTCACATCTTTAATCCATTTTCATTTGATTTTTGTGTATGGTGACAGGTAGAGGTGCAGTTTCATTCCTCTGCATGTAGATGTCCAGGTTTCCCTGCACTGTTTATTGAAAAGACTGTCCTTTCCTGATTGTGAGTTCTTGGCACCTTTGTCAAAGTCCATTGGATGGGCTGGGCTTGGTGGCTCACACCTGCAATTCCAGCACTTTGGGAGGCCGAGGCGGGTGGATTACCTGAGGCCAGGAGTTCAAGATCAGTCTGGCCGACGTGATGAAACATCGTCTCCACTAAAAATATAAAAATTAGCTGAGCATGGTGGTCAGCACCTGTAATACCACTACTCAGGAGTTTGAGGCAAGAGAATGATTGAACCCAGGAGGCTGAGGTTGCAGTGAACTGAGATTGCACCTCTGCACTCCAGCCTGAGTGACAGAGCAAGACTCCATCTCAAAAGAAAAAATAAAAAACCATTGGATGTAAATGCATGGAATATATCTGTGTTATTCATTCTGCTCCATTGTTCTATGTGCCTTTCTTTATGCCAATGTCATGCTGTTTTGCTTACTACAGCTCTGTAACATATTTTGAGATCAGGTAGTGTGATGCTCCTGTTTTCTCTTTATACCTTGAAGTCTCAAGACAGTGGGCGTCACATACAAAAATTATGGAAAAAAGGATCCCAGGACTCCCAGGGCCCAATATTAGATAACAGAGTGTTGGCCATGAACCATCCTCAAAGATTTCCACTGAGTAGAGGACAGACACCCTCATTTCCTCACCTCTCTCCTGTCTCATATTCTAGGAAACCCTTCAAATAGTTGGCCTTCACCCACTGAACCAAGCTCCAAAACCGGTGAGTACAGAACCCTCTTATATCCGCTTTTGGAAACCTGGGGAGGTGGAAACCTTGGATTCAGGCGTTGACTCAGCATCTCACAGCTCTGACATTGTACCCCTGTCTTCCACCATCTCCGAACTCCAGATACTCCTACAGCGAAAGGGATCTGGGCCCAACACAGGGCTCAGTGAAATCTCTTCATCTCTCATTTTATGGAGCTGAGACCTCCTACAAGCTAGAAGAATGATTGCCAATCTGACATCCTTCTCAGGAAAAATGCAATGTTTGTTCTGCCTGCATTCCTAACTGGAGGATAAATTCCTGGAGACTTGAGAGAGGGAAGGGAAGGGAACATCTGATGAGGGCGAGGTGTTTTAGAGAAGTTCCACTTGCCAAGGAATGAGCTCCTATAGGTCATGAAGCAACCCTGGCTGACTCAGCAGAGAAAGAGCCTTGCTGTAACAGAGAACAGAGCTCATGCACGCACACTTCGACTCACTGACTCATTCAGCCACGGCCCCATGCTCAGGCTGTGCAGTGTGGAAGCTTTTCCTATTGTTGCCATAACAAATTTCCACAAGATTCGTGGGTGAAAACAAAACGGTTTTTTAATTATCTTGCAGTGCTGTAGCTCAAAGTATGAAGTGCATCTCACTGGGCTAAAATCAAGGTGACAGCAAGGCTGCCTTCCCTCTGAGGATTCCAGGCAAGAATCTGCTTCTCACTTTTCTCAGCTTCTAGAGGCTCCCACATTCCTTCGCTCCTGGTCCCCTTCCTCCTTCCTCAAAGCCCACAAAGGCTGGTCACATCTCACATGGCATCACTCAGACCCTTCTTCCTTACCACACCTCTTTCTCTGAATGCTGCTCTCCCTTCTTCCTCATCTTTTGAAAACTTGGGGATTCTATTGGGTTCACCAAGATGAAAATCCATCATAATCTCCCGGAAATCATTCAGGATACCCTTGTTTTAAGTTCAGCTGATTAGCAACCATAATTCCATCTGCAATCTTCATTCCTCCTTTCCATGTAAAATAAGATATTCACAAGCTATGGAGGCTAGGACAGGGACATTTTGGGGTGGGACAGCATTCTCCTACCTTCCACAAACAGTGAACAAGATGCATTTGGCCTCTGCTCTTGGGACACTGATATTGCAGATGGTTAAATGGGAGGGCAGAAAATGAATGCACAAGTGGACCAATAAATGAATGATCCATTGGGAAGCATCTGTGTATGAAATCTATTTGTTTGTTTCTTCATTTGTTTATTGAGACAGAGTCGCCCTCTGTCTTCCAGGCTACAGTGCAGTGTCACCATCTTGGCTCACTGCAACCTGCACCTTCTGGATCCAAGTGATTCTCCTGCGTCAGCCTCTCAAGTAGCTGGGATTACAGGCAACTGCCACCATGCCCGGCTAATTCTTTTTGTATATTTTTTGTAGAGGATGTTTCACCATCTTCGCCAAGCTTCTCTGAAACTCCCAACCTCAAGTGATCCGACCGTCTCAGCATCCTAAAGTACTGGGATAACTGGCGTGAGCCACTGTGCCCAGCCAGAATTTAAAATAAATAATACATAATGCTGAGTGTATGATTTTGGGTGACAGAGAAGATCTCACTAATCAGATATTTGTGACATTAATGAAAAACACGGATTGAACCCCTGAAAGATTGGTGGAAGGATTTTCCACACACAGCTGTCAGCCGTGAACGCACAAAGGTGAAAATAATCTGATGTTGAAGGAAGAGGCTCTTCCTCAAATGCTGGGAATGACGTGGGGAGAATGACAAGACGACTGTGGAGAGACGGAGAGCACACTGGGTACACAGGAAACTAAGGAGCAACAAGGAGTGTGTGTTTGACACTCACAGCCATTGGATTCACCTCGGGGTAGCCAGGAATCCCTACATGATTAATAGTGACTGACATGAAAATAAGGGAGGCCCAGGTGCGTAACTGGAATCTAGGAGACCGTGGAAAAGGCAATTCCCGCCTCACTGGTGAAATGTGGTGCTGATTTAGACCCTAACTGGGTGAAGCAGATGGATATAAGATATGCTTGTGAGGTGGAATCATTGGCTGGAAAGGCTTGCTGGGTATGATTTTCCTAGTTGTCTAATCCTCGCTTAATTTCTTTCTGAGCTTTATTCCTACTACACATAAATCAATACCTGGCAAAGGAGTGACAGATATATGAGGGGTGGTGGAAATGAAGGGACCTATTACAGCATAATATACAAGTCTGTGAACGGTGGCTCACGCCTGTAACCCAGCACTGCAGGAGGCCAAGGCGGGTGGATCACACGAAGTCAGCAGTTCGAGACCAGCCTGGCCAACATGGTGAAACCCTGTCTCTAGGAAAAACACAAAAATTAGCCGAACATGGTGGTGCATCCCTGTAATGCCAGCTCCTACTCTGGAGGATGAAGCAGGAGAATGACTTCAACCCAGGAGGTGGAGTTTGCAGTGAGTGGAGATTGCATCACTGCACTCCAGCCTGGGTGACACAAGGAGACTCCGTCTCAAAAAATAAAAATAAGAAATGCATAAATATAAATATAATATAACACACGCAAATGACAAAGGGACCTGAATTCCAATCATGATTTTTCTATTTCTCTATAATTACTTCTTTGATCCTTTATCTTATCCATTAGGCAATGAGCCTAAAACCTCTTCCCTATTTGGCTTTCTGTGAGCATGAGATCATATAGAAAATGTGAAAGCCCGCTGAATCCTCCAGCACAGATCCTGGAATACACAAAGTGCTCTGTTCATCACAAAAAAAACATGCCCTCTCACCCAAATCCCCCACCTCACCCCTACTTCCAATCATCTGTGGAGATTCAGATAGGCCATGGGGAGGTAAATTCTAATACTCCTTGGAGTGAGTCCAGATCTTGGAATCAGAGATCAGCGTCAGCACTAGCTCCTGCTCCCCTTTCCTACTAATTCACAGGAGGACAGGTGGTATTGAAGCAATAGATGGCCGAGGGTGTGGTCCTTCCCCCAGCCTCTGGGGTAGAACAGCAGCCTAACATGTGTCTCCTGAGATCACAAAGAGTAGCACGTTTCACATGGGCTTCAACACTATTTCCTGGCCATTTGACATAAGAGAATTCTACTTCGCTTTTTTTATCTTGATTTCACTTTTGTTTCCTTTTCTTGGAGAATGCAAGTTGTTTGACTCAAGAATGCCGTGGATGTATAAATCCTAAAGCACATTCGCTGTGTATCAATCCCAGTGCAGTCTTCCCAGAGAAGACTCTAAACACCTCCTGGACTGCACCTGGGCCTATGCCAATTCCTATCACTCACCGTCACTCCAGGAAGACAGAACACACAGAGAATACATTACACAGGCAGGTTCATTACTAACAGATAAGCAGCGAGTGACAACAGAAGCCTACATTTCAATGTGAGCCAGTCCCTCAAGGCTCAGAAAAGCTGCTCGGGACATATGGAGTCACCCCATTTGCAGTGTAGCTGGGGGAAGCCAGAAAGCAGCCCAGCCTGGGTTTTGTACCCTGGAGCCACAGGAAGCACTCAGCTAAAGCACTGCATGACGCCTTCCTCCAGGAAGAACAGGAAGACAGCCCAGGCTGTTCTGAGACATTCCTCCTGATCTCAGGACGTTGCTGTCGTAGTTTTTTTTTGTTGCTCTAAAGGAAAACTTGAGCCTCGGTAACTTCTAAAGAAAAGAGATCGGTTTGCCTCACCGTTCTGCAGGCTGTACTGGAAGCATGGCACCAGAATCTATTTCTTGTGACGGCCTCAGGCTGCTCCCACTCTGGCAGAAGGGAAGGAGGGTCTGTCTGTGCAGAGACCGCAGAGATCACACGGCAAGAGAGAGAGTAAGGGGGAGGGGGAGCGATGGAGCTTCCAAGCTCTTTTGAACAACCAGCTCTCCGGGAACTAATAGAGGGGGAACTTGCTAACCCCGTCTCCTTGGGACAGCATTGTTCTGTTCATGATGGATCCACCTCCATGACCCAAACACCTCCCAAGAGGCCCAACCTCCCACAGTGGGGGTGAAATTTCCATGTGAGGTTTGAAGGGGTCAGACATCTCAACTAAAGTAGTTGTATCCTCAGCACGTTCTATGGTTACTATGAGAGCTATAATTGAGAAAGCAGGGGAAAGCTAGGTCTCCCACCATTTGGGTGCTTGTCCTAAAGAGACGTTGTATGTGGTTACCTGTCAATCAAGAAATGCGAGACAATTCATAAAGAGGAACTGCTATGATTAGCTTCTTATTGGTGTCTCCTCTTCTTCCAGGTAACCCCAGACACCTACACGTTCTGATTGGGACCTCAGTGGTCAAACTCCCTTTCACCATCCTCCTCTTCTTTCTCCTTCATCGCTGGTGCTCCAACAAAAAAAGTAAGTCTCACGAAGCAGAGGCCAGAGAGCTCAGGGCCATGTGGGGAAGCAGGATGGTAGCACGCGGGTGTGTGTTCCTCACAGGCAGGATGGTCCCTGGCCCAAGGCAGGAGCCACAGAGGCAGGACTTTCTAGAGAGAGCACCAGATTCCCTTCCCCTGCCTTCAGCTCACAGACCATTGCCTGATTCTGAACTGTACCCTCACGTCCCCTGCAGCCACTCACATCCAGGAGAAGGTTCCATGACAGGCAGAAAGTGGGAGATAGAATCAATGGGATGGGAACTCAGAGCTATTCATGGGATGGGTCCTTGAGCTCAGAGAGATAGAATGTCTGAGTCTGCTGTTGGCAACTGAGGGACCTCAGGCACCTATGGCCTCCCCCTGTTTGTTGGTATCTGCTTATGAAATGAGGACCCAGAAGTGCCCTCCGAGCTGTTTTGTTGACTTCCATCTTCTACAGATGCATCTGTAATGGACCAAGGGCCTGCGGGGAACAGAACAGTGAACAGGGAGGTAGGTGCTCCTCGGCCCAGCCTCGTGGCTAGTCTTATTCCCAAAGAGTCCTGAAAAATGTGAGCACCCTCCCTCACTCAGCATTTCCCTCTCTCCAGGATTCTGATGAACAGGACCATCAGGAGGTGTCATACGCATAATTGGATCACTGTGTTTTCACACAGAGAAAAATCACTCCCCCTTCTCAGAGGCCCAAGACACCCCCAACAGATAGCAGCATGTACATAGAACTTCCAAATGCTGAGTCCAGATCCAAAGCTGTCTTCTGTCCACGAGCACCACAGTCAGGCCTTGAGGGGATCTTCTAGGGAGACAACAGCCCTGTCTCAAAACCGGGTTGCCAGCTCCCATGTACCAGCAGCTGGAATCTGAAGGCATCAGTCTTCATCTTAGGGGATCGCTCTTCCTCAAACCACGAATCTGAACATGCCTCTCTCTTGCTTACAAATGTCTAAGGTCCCCACTGCCTGCTGGAGAGAAAACACACTCCTTTGCTTAGCCCACAATTCTCCATTTCACTTGACCCCTGCCCACCTCTCCAACCTAACTGGCTTACTTCCTAGTCTACTTGAGGCTGCAATCACACTGAGGAACTCACAATTCCAAACATACAAGAGGCTCCCTCTTAACACAGCACTTAGACACGTGCTGTTCCACCTTCTCTCATGCAGTTCCACCTCCCCTCAGACTATCTTTCAGCCTTCTGTCAGCAGTAAAACTTATAAATTGTTTTTAGTAATTTCAATGTAGTTTTCCCTCCTTCAAATAAACATGTCTGCCCTCATGGTTTCGGTAATGGGACTCTTTTCTTGCCTAAGGCTTCTGGTGTTATCATTACCATGTCCACATAACCCCATCTGTTCTCCACTGGGTTCTCACCCCTGGACTCTGAGCTTCTGGAACAGGGTGGACCCTGACTTGTCTCTGAGACTCCAATTTCCATCCAAAGATGCAGCACATAGGAAGTTCCAAGGATCGTGAATCACATGAACAAGTGATATTCTTACTCTCTGCAGACCTGGAAAGCTGGCAGAGTCATTCCATGATGAAACATTTGTAGAGTCATAGGCCTTGTTAGTCTCATCTCCACGGGGACACATGTCAACGCATCATCTTTCATACTATAAATATACAGTCGCTCCTCCGTATCTGTGGGGTTTACAGGTGTTTATTGAACCAAGTATAAATCAAAAATATTCAGAGAAAAAGCCCACAAAGTTCCAAAAAGCAAAACTGTGTTGAATGCACACAAATGAGGTGGTGTATAGGCTGTATCAGGAATTATAAGTAATCAAGAGATGATTTCATGTATACAGGAGGATGTGCATGGGTTATATCCAAATGCTGTGTCATTTTATGTAAGAGGCTTGAGCATCTGCAGATTTTAGTATCTGAGTGGAGATCCTGAAACCAATCACCCATGAATAGTGAAGGATGACGGTATAGGACTTTTATTTCTCAAATTTAAATATAAATCATAAAAAATGTACAATAACTAGATAAAAACTAAGAAGTGTTTTTATAGTGTGAGAATAAGTTTAGATTTATTATTTCCTATGTGTAACCCTTTGGTTTAATATTATTTATTGAGAAGACATTCTATGCCACCTTAAACCACACGGCAGCCTTTGTCAACTAAAAAGGGACTGTGTGTACACGGATGTGTATTTTAGACACTGTCTCTGCTAAACGGCTCTCTGTGTCCACATTCTTGAGGATGCTCCACTTTATGTAGCCCCATAGAACCCTTTAAATTTAGTAGCCAGAGGCCTCTAATTTGTTATTATAGGCTATTTGCTATTTTTATTTTCTTGAGGCGGAGTCTTGCTCTGTCGCCCAGGCTGGACTGCAGTGGTGCAATCTCAGCTCACTGCAACCTCCGCCTCCCAGGTTCAAGCGATTCTCGTGCCTCAGCCTCTTGGGTAGCTGGTGTTACAAGTTCCTGCCACTGGGCACGGCTAATTTTTGGATTTTTAGCAGAGACACGGTTTCACTGTGTTGCCAGGCTGCTCTCAAACTCCTTATATCAGTTGATCCGCCCACCTCGGCTTCCCGACGTGCTGGGGGAAACTTGATTTTCTATAGCATTATGTTACTGGATATTTCTGTAAAATTTAAAATGAGGGAGGGAGAGAGACAGAGAGAGAGCAAACTCCAGAGTTGGGACTCTGGAAACTTGGGTCATGAGACAAATTTTAGATAAATCTACAAAAATCCAGAGTTTAAATGTGTGGTTTTTGCTGATAACGTACAATTCAAAGATTGTAAATAATTGCATAATCCTTCCCTGGGAATTTAAATCATTTTAACTGGTTCTGCTGTAATACTAGAAATACAAGCATGAAAAATTCTAATGGTTTATTAGTCACAATGACTCTGAAAACCTTAATAATACCTATTAGATATTTTGCATATTACACAGGAAGAAGAGTTTGAATCTCAGATAAAAACAATAAAAATACATGAAAAGTCTTTCACGTTAGCACAGATTTTAGGCATCTCGTGTTCAGGAGGTTGGATCTGAGACGTGTTTTGAGTTGGTCATAGTGAAGGACGCTAGGTGTAAATTCTAGTGAGAACAATTTCCAGGAAGCCGTGTTCCGCTCTTGAGCGAGCAACCACTGGGCCTCATGCAAGGTAGAAAGAGCCTGCGTACGTCACCCTCCCATGATGTGGTCAACATGTAAACTGCATGGGCAGGGCGCCAAATAACATCCTGTGCGCTGCTGAGCTGAGCTGGGGCGCGGCCGCCTGTCTGCACCGGCAGCACCATGTCGCTCACGGTCGTCAGCATGGCGTGTGTTGGTGAGTCCTGGAAGGGAATAGAGGAAGGGAGTGTGGGGTTGGAGATCTGGGCCCAGAGGTGGATATATAGGCCTGGAGGTGGAGTTGTGGGCCTGGAGTGGAGATCTGGGCCTGGAGTGGATATATGGGCCTAGAGATGGAGTGATGGGCCTAGAAGTGGAGATCTGGGCCCAGAGGTCGAGATATAGGCCTGGAGGTGGAGTGATGGGACTGTAGTGGAGATCTGGGCCTGGAGTGGAGATAGGAACCTGGAGGGGAGATAGGAACCTGGAGGGGAGATATGGGCCTGGAGGTGGAGATATGGGCCTGGAGTGGAGTCATGGGCCTGGAGGTGGAGTTACGGGCCTGCAGTAGAGATATGGGCCTGAAGTGGAGACATGGGCCTGGAGTGGAGATATGGGCCAGGAGTGGAGATATGGGCCTAGAGGTCGATATCTGGGCCTGGAGTGGAGATATGGGCCAGGAGTGGAGATATGGGCCTAGAGGTCGATATCTGGGCCTGGAGAGGAGATATGTGCCTAGGATGGAGATACGGGCCTGGGTGTGGAGATATGGGACTGGAGAGGATATATGGGCCTGGAGTGGAGATATGGGACTGGAGAGGAGATATGGACCTGGAGTGGAGATAAGGGCCTGGATTGGAGATATGGGCCCAGGGTGGAGATCTGAGCCTGGATTGGAGATATGGGCCTGGATTGGCGATATGGGCTTAGGGTGGAAATATCGGCCTGGAGTGGAGATATGGGCCTGGAGTGGAGATATGGGCTTGAGGTGGGGATATGGACCTGGAGGCTGGGTCTCTGCACAGCCGACAGCCCTGTTCTTGGGTGCAGGTAGGCACTGAGGGTGAGTTTACCTTCAGCCCAGGAAGGGCCTGGCTACCAAGACTCACAGCCCAGTGGGGGCAGCAAGGGTGCCCTGGTTTGCCTGCAGATGGGTCATCCATCATGATCTTTCTTTCCAGGGTTCTTCTTGCTGCAGGGGGCCTGGCCACATGAGGGTGAGTCCTTCTCCAAACCTTCGGGTGTCATCTCCCCACATAAGAGGATTTTCCTGAAATGGGAGGGAAGTCCTGTCAGGGAGTCTCTCATAAACTAGGAAGAAGGGACCCTGGGGTGCTGGGCCCACATTTCTGACCTTGCCTCCCTGGCCTTTCATTCCCTTGGCAGAGTCAAGTTCTGTGGGGACCAGGGTTAGACTACGGTGCTCAAAGCTGGGGTGTGTGGTGGGGAAGTGGTAGGAACAGCAGATCCTCTGAGGACAAAGGTGTTACTCACACACTTCAGCGTTTCCATGACGGTAGGGGCTGCAGTGTGGCTGCTGTCATTCTACCAGAAGAGGTGGGAAAACCACAGCCATGGCCCTGACATTCCAATCCTCTGATGGGGACTCAGTTGTTTATTTTCGTTCAGGCATCGGCTGATATTCCATTCTCAAAGGACATGCCCTCCACCCCATGTCTACCCTGTGTTGTTTTATGTGAGTAATCTTACAGTATTAAAATCTAGTAGGAGTCTCTTACTCAGCACTTGCTCAAAGTTCTCAGCTGACACTTTTGTTGTAGGGAGACACCTTGTGTTTGCGGGATGGGTTCTTCCTTTAGCCCTGGGCACCAAGGTGTGATAGCAGCCATAGAAACTTGGAAAGCGAGGAGAATCTTCAGAGCACAGGGAGGGAGGGGCGGCTCCACATCCTCCTCTCTAAGGCGGTGCCTCCTTCTCCCCACGGTGGTCAGGACAAGCCCTTGCTGTCTGCCTGGCCAAGCCCTGTGGTGCCTCCAGGATATGTGATTCTTCAGTGTCATTCTTATCTTGGGTTTAACAACTTCAGTCTGTAAAAGGAAGATGGGGTGCCTGTCCCTGAGCTCTACAACATAATATTCTGGAACAGCCTTTTCATGGGCCCTGTGACCCCAGCACACGCAGGGACCTATACATGTCGGGGTTCACAACCACACTACCCCAGTGGGTGGTCGGCACCCAGCAACCCCCTGGAGATCACGGTCACAGGTCAGAGGGCTCCTGTCTGGGATTCTCCTTGTCCCACCTCCTGAATCCCAGAGCTCCTGGTGGGCGTGTCCTTGCGGGTCCCATCATGCAAGTCCTGACTGTATTTGGGGTAAAGGGGGATTGAATACAGGGAAATGGGTGCTGTGGTGGGAAGAATAATTGTCCCCAGTGATGACTACATTCTAATCCCTGGAGTCTGTGACTATTTATGATATAGGGGAAGGGACTGAAGGAGAAGATGGAGCTCAGGTTGTTGATGAGTTGACCTTGAGATGGGGAGACAACCTGGACTGTCCTGATGGGCTCAGTGTAGTCACAGGGGTCCACAGGAAAGGAGGAGGAAGAGGGGAGTGGGGATTACAGCAGCATAATGGGAGTCTCCATCAGCTTTGAAGGTGGAGGAAGTCCAGGAGCCATGAATGCAGGTGGCCTATAGAGGCTGGAAAAGTCAAGGAACTGATTCTCCTGAGTCTCCAGAGGGAACGAAGCCCTGCAGGTACCTTGATTTTACCCACGACAAACAGGGTCCGATTTCTGTCTCCAGAATTGGAAGGGGTTAGTGTGCTCTCTCCTGCTGCCATGCTTCTGATAATTTTCTACAGCAGCAACAGGAAACCAACACTGGAACCCAGGTCAAGGACAAGTTAAGAAACAACACAAGGATAGCCAGGCATGGTGGCAGGTGCATGTAATCCTAGCGACTTGGGAGGCTGAGGGCAGGAGAATCACTTGAACCCAGGAGACAGAGGTTGCAGTAAGCCTAGACCACACCACTTCACTCCAGCCTGGGCAAAGGAGTGAGACTCTGTCGCCAAAATTAATTAATTAATTAAAGAAACCAAACAAGGAGAAGGTTGGCTACACTGAGATCAGCAAGGCTCGGATGATGATGCCACCACCAGGCTCCATCCACATAGGGAGCGGTTGATACTCCTCCAACCAGCACCAGGAGCCAGGCTATGGAAGCTGGCACTGGCATGGCAAGAGTGTCTCCCAGTCCCTACCAGGAACAGGGTGTGTGGCCACTGGTGCCTGCCTTACTGATCAGTTCATACCTCCTGCCAAGGATTCCAATTCGTCCAAAAGAGATTGAACCAGGCTGCTAAGAGCCTGGATGTGAAGCCTATCCTGGTTCCTCTTCCACCCCCACACAGACAGCAGGAAAGACATTAGTTCGAAATAGATACAACAGCCCAAGAGATGAGGCTGAGCCCAGCGGCAAGGGAATCAGAGGCTACTAGAGACAGAGGGACAGAGAAGAGTGAGGGAGACAGATGGAAGGACCTGCACCAGGAGTTATGGGCACAGAAAAGAACATGAAGACACAGAGAGGAAGGAGAGAGATAAGACACCAGGAAGGGGAAGCCTGACTCAATCCAGGTGCCATGGATGGGATGATAAAGAGAGACACCTTCTAAACTCACAACCTCTCTTCCTAGGAGTCCACAGAAAACCTTCCCTCCTGGCCCACCCAGGTCGCCTGGTGAAATCAGAAGAGACAGTCATCCTGCAATGTTGGTCAGATGTCATGTTTGAACACTTCCTTCTGCACAGAGAGGGGATGTTTAACGACACTTTGCGCCTCATTGGAGAACACCATGATGGGGTCTCCAAGGCCAACTTCTCCATCAGTCGCATGAAGCAAGACCTGGCAGGGACCTACAGATGCTACGGTTCTGTTACTCACTCCCCCTATCAGTTGTCAGCTCCCAGTGACCCTCTGGACATCGTGATCATAGGTGAGAGTGTCCAGACTTTCTTCTCATTGTCATTGGGATGCAGAGTGAATGATCCAGGACTTGGAGGCCCAGGTGGCTGTAAGGAAGATGAGCTTGGTATTCTTATGGAGAGAGACTGACTTGGTGAGGTCTGTGCCAACAGAGACAGAGAAACAGGAGACACAAGTAGAGACCAGGTGTCATAACAGAGAACAGACACAGGGGCCATACCGGGAGTTTGAAAAGACAGAAAGAGTTAAAGGAAACACACAGACAGACATGTCCCAGAGAGAGGTGTCCCTCCATGCTGACTTTGCTCAGAGACCTGGCACAGGTTAGAAGTTTCATTTCTGTTTTACCTCCACAAAGTGTTCTCTACCAGGAGAACCCAAGGACACCCATATTTCTGACCTGAGTTGGGCCCTGTGGCCTCAGGCCTTGTGGCACCTACAGATGCCATGTTTATTCTGACACCTCTGCCTTCCATGTAATGGAGAGTAATCGTCCCAGGATATCATGGCCCCACAACACCAACCCCTGTATGCTGTGTGAACTTGTAGTCTCCAGACTGGATTCTGAGGCTCATATTCCAAATAAGCCCACTTATGAGAGGATCAGTGAGAGGCACAGAGAGAAATCAGGGACACCAAAAAGCAAAGACATAAACACACAGAGAATGAGCCAGAGGAAGGAGATTGAGAGACTCACAGACACATAAAGAGAAAAGAGGGCAGAGAAGTGAGAATGATGGAAGGGAGCAGAGAAAAGCACTAAAATTAGACTCCTGAGGGAGAGGCACAAGGACATTGAAAGATGGAGATGTGGGGATGAATTGCAGAGATTCCAAAGAGAACTAGAGAGACCGAGAGGCAGAGCAAGACAGATGATAGATGGATAGATATAGATAGATGATAAATAGGTAGATGATAGATAATAGGTTATAGATACATAGATGATGATTGATTGATTCATTAATAGATGAGACATAGAGATGATGATGATGAAGACAGATAGATAGATAATACATAGAGATACAGAGGCAGACATAGAGAAATCATAGAGAGAGAGAGATGATACATAGATATAGATAATAGATGATTGATGGATAGATAGACAATTGATGGATAAATAGATGATATATAGATATAGATGACAGGTAGAGAATTTGTAGATAGGCACCGAATAGATAAATAGATAGATCGATAGATAATAGATAGAAATATGCAGAAAGTTATGAACAGGACACAAAGTGAGAAACTCAGAATTAAAAAAAGTAACATCAAGTCAACCAATCCAAGGAGAGTCAGAGAGAATAAAACAATCCAAAAAGAGAAAACATATCTAGAGGTGGGGAAGTGAGGTCAGAGACCTAAAGAGACAGAGAAGGTGGAAGGAGGAAATAGACATGAAGAGCGATGGGGTAGAGGGTGAGAGAGAGAGAGAGAGAGCATTAGGTCATAGAGCAGGGGAGTGAGTTCTCAGCTCAGGTGAAGGGAGCTGTGACAAGGAAGATCCTCCCTGAGGAAACTGCCTCTTCTCCTTCCAGGTCTATATGAGAAACCTTCTCTCTCAGCCCAGCCGGGCCCCACGGTTCTGGCAGGAGAGAATGTGACCTTGTCCTGCAGCTCCCGGAGCTCCTATGACATGTACCATCTATCCAGGGAAGGGGAGGCCCATGAACGTAGGCTCCCTGCAGGGACCAAGGTCAACGGAACATTCCAGGCCAACTTTCCTCTGGGCCCTGCCACCCATGGAGGGACCTACAGATGCTTCGGCTCTTTCCGTGACTCTCCATACGAGTGGTCAAAGTCAAGTGACCCACTGCTTGTTTCTGTCACAGGTGAGGAAAGCCCATGGCTGTCCCATGTCCTATGATCCTAGAGCCTTAGCTGAGGAGCTTCCTGCTGATGATGGAGAGAAGCATGGACAGATGCAGAGAGAAGACGCAGCCTCGGTGTGAGGGAGGGATCAGGGCACAGGATGGCCGACAGGGCACCTCCAAACCCTCCTACATGGCCTGCATGGAGGCCCACGGCCAGGGCTCCAGGCACCCAGGCAGATGGAGAAAGCGGTCAGGAGAGACCCAGAGGAGGGAGACTGGGCTCAGTTTGGGGAGATCAGAGGTTCCCTCAGCCCCTCAACCTTACCCATTTCCCAGAAGCCCATCCTGGCCTCTCACCCACACAGAGATGTCATCACCAGCAACCCCTACACCCTTTACTTTTCTTTGAAGAAATATTTATTGAGGATAAATATACCTATATAGCTTACCACTTTTAACATTTTTTTTTGAGGTGGAGTCTAGCTGTGTCCCCTATGCTGGAGTGCAGTGGCACAATCTCAGCTCACTGCAACCTCCACCTCCTGGGTTCAAGCGATTCTCCTGCCTCAGCCACCTGAGTAGCTGGTGCTACAGGCACGCACCACCACGCCAGGCTACTTTTTGTATTTTTAGTAGGGAGGTGGTTTCACCATGTTGGTCGAGCTGGTCTCGAACTCCTGACCAAGTGATCCACCCGCATCTGCCTCCCAAAGTGCTGGGATTACAGGCATGGGCCACCGCGCCCAGCCACATTTACCATTTTTAAGTGTAAAGTCTAGTGGTCATAAATACATTTATATACATATATATATATATACATTTTTTTTACCCTCCACCCTTTTCTTCCTGTCCTCCAGTAGCCACCATTCTACTCTCTACCTTCATGAGATCCACCTTTTAGCTCCTGTATATGGGTGAGAAATGGGAATCTTTGTAATGACCTCCAGTTCCATCCATGTGGCTGCAAATGACAGGATGTTATTCTTTCTATGGATGAGTAGTCTCCACTATGCGTATGTACTACATTCTCTCTATCCATTTACCCACTGATGGGCAGGTAGGTTGACTCCTCATCTTGGCTACTGTGAACAGTGCTGCACCAATCATACGAGTGCAGATATCACTTCGATATATTGATTTACTTTCCTTTGGATATAAACCCAGTAGTGAAATTGCTGGATACTATGAAAGTTCTCTTTTTTTCTTTTTTTCTTTTTTGAGAAAGAGTTTCCCTCCTTAGCCCAAGCTGGAGTCAAAGTGGTGCGACCTTGGCTCATTGCAACCTACGCCTCCTGGGTTCAAATGATTTTCCTGCCTCAGCCTCCCTAGTAGCTGGGATTACAGGTGCACACCACCATGCCTGGCTACTTTTTGGTTTTTTTAGTATAGATGGGGTTTCCCCATGTTGGCTGGGCTGCTCTCAAACTCATGACCTCAACTGAGGTGCCCGCCTCAGTCTCCCAAAGTGCCGGGATTACAGGCATGATCCACCGCACCCAACCTCTTTTTAGTTCTTTAAAGGACTTCCATACTTTTCTCCGTAATGGCTGTACTAATTTACACTCCTCCCAACAGGGTACCAGGGTTCTCCTTTCTCTACCACCTTGCCAGCATTTCTTTTGCCTGTCTTGCAGCTAAAAGCCATTTTATTTTATTTCATTTTATTTTGAGATGGAGTTTTGCTCTTCTCACCCAGGCTGGAGTGCAGTGGCGCGATCTCGGCTCACCACAACCTCCACCTCCCAGGTTCAAGCGATTCTCCTGCCTCAGCCTCCCGAGTAGCTGGAATTACAGGCACAGGCCACCACGCCCGACTAATTTTTGTATTTTTAGTAGAGACAGTGTTTCTCTATGTGGGTCATACTGGTCTCAAACTCCCGACCTTATGAGATTCACCCACCTCAGGCTCTCAAAGTTCTAGGATGACAAACGTGAGCCACCTCACCCGGCCTAAAAGCCATTTTAATGGGGTGAGATGAAAACTCACTTTGAATTTAATTTGCGTTTCTCTGATGATGAGTGATACTGAGCAGTTTTTCGTATGTGGGGAAATTTCATGTCTTTTGCTCCTTTTTCAATTAAATCATTTGTTTTATTGAGTTGTTTGAGCTTCTTATATTTCTAGTTATTAATCCCATCTCAGATGCATAGTTTGCACATATTTGCTCCCAATCTGTGGGTTGTCTCTTCACTTTGTTGGTTTATTTTTAGCGGTGCAGAAGTTGCTTAGTATGAGGTAATCCCAATGGTCTATTTTTGCTTCGATTACTTGTGTTTTCAAGGTTTAAAACAAAATGTCTTTCTTCAGACAAATGTCCTGGAGCATTTCCCCAATATTTTGTTCTACGTGTTTCATAGGTTCAGGCCTTAGACTCACATCTTTAATCCATTTTCATTTGATTTTTGTGTATGGTGACAGGTAGAGGTGCAGTTTCATTCCTCTGCATGTAGATGTCCAGGTTTCCCTGCACTGTTTATTGAAAAGACTGTCCTTTCCTGATTGTGAGTTCTTGGCATCTTTGTCAAAGTCCATTGGATGGGCTGGGCTTGGTGGCTAACACCTGCAATTTCAGCACTTTGGGAGCCCGAGGTGGGTGGATCACCTGAGGCCAGGAGTTCAAGATTAGTCTGGCCGACGTGATGAAACATCATCTCCACTAAAAATATAAAAATTAGCTGAGCATGGTGGTCAGCACCTGTAATACCACTACTCAGGAGTTTGAGGCAAGAGAATGATTGAACCCAGGAGGCTGAGGTTGCAGTGAACCGAGATTGCACCTTTGCACTCCAGCCTGAGTGACAGAGCAAGACTCCATCTCAAAAGAAAAAATAAAAAACCATTGGATGTAAATGCATGGAATATATCTGTGTTATTCATTCTGCTCCGTTGTTCTATGTGCCTTTCTTTATGCCAGTGTCATGCTATTTTGCTTACTACAGCTCTGTAACATATTTTGAGATCAGGTAGTGTGATGCTCCTGTTTTCTCTTTATACCTTGAAGTCTCAAGACAGTGGGTGTCACATAAAAAAATTATGGAAAAAAGGATCCCAGGACTCCCAGGGCCCAATATTAGATAACAGAGTGTTGGCCATGAACCATCCTCAAAGATTTCCACTGAGTGGAGGACAGAAACCCTCATTTCCTCACCTCTCTCCTGTCTCATGTTCTAGGAAACCCTTCAAATAGTTGGCCTTCACCCACTGAACCAAGCTCCGAAACCGGTGAGTACAGAACCCTCTTATATCCGCTTTTGGAAACCTGGGGAGGTGGAAACCTTGGATTCAGGCGTTGACTCAGCATCTCACAGCTCTGACATTGTACACCTGTCTTCCACCATCTCCGAACTCCAGATACTCCTACAGCGAAAGGGATCTGGGCCCAACACAGGGCTCAGTGAAATCTCTTCATCTCTCATTTTATGGAGCTGAGACCTCCTACAAGCTAGAAGAATGATTGCCAATCTGACATCCTTCTCAGGAAAAATGCAATGTTTGTTCTGCCTGCATTCCTAACTGGAGGATAAATTCCTGGAGACTTGAGAGAGGGAAGGGAAGGGAACATCTGATGAGGGCGAGGTGTTTTAGAGAAGTTCCACTTGCCAAGGAATGAGCTCCTGTAGGTCATGAAGCAACCCTGGCTGACTCAGCAGAGCAAGAGCCTTGCCGTAACAGAGAACAGAGCTCATGCACACACACTTCGACTCACTGACTCATTCAGCCACGGCCCCATGCTCAGGCTGTGCAGTGCGGAACCTTTTCCTATTGTTGCCATAACAAATTTCCACAAGATTCGTGGGTGAAAACAAAACGGTTTTTTAATTATCTTACAGTGCTGTAGCTCAAAGTAGGAAGTGCATCTTACTGGGCTAAAATCAAGGTGACAGCAAGGCTGCCTTCCCTCTGAGGATTCCAGGCACGAATCTGCTTCTCACTTGTCCCAGCTTCTAAAGGCTCCCAGTTCCTTGGCTCCTGGTCCCCTTCCTCCTTCCTCAAAGCCCACAAAGACTGGTCACATCTCACATGGCATCACTCAGTGCCTTCTTCCTTACCACACTTCTTTCTCTGAATGCTGCTCTCCCTTCTTCCTCATCTTTTGAAAACTTGGGGATTCTATTGGGTTCACCAAGATGAAAATCCCTCATAATCTCCTGGAAATCATCCAGGATACCCTTGTTTTAAGTTCAGCTGATTAGTAACCATAATTCCATCTGCAATCTTCATTCCTCCTTTCCATGTAAAATAACATATTCACAAGCTATGGAGGCTAGGACAGGGACATTTTGGGGTGGGACAGCATTCTCCTGCCTTCCACAAACAGTGAACAAGATGCATTTGGCCTCTGCCCTTGGGACACTGATATTGCAGATGGTTAAATGGGAGGGCAGAAAATGAATGCACAAGTGGATCTATAAATGAATGATCCATTGGGAAGCATCTGTGCATGAAATCTATTTTTTGTTTGTTCTTTTGTTTATTGAGACAGAGTTGCCCTCTGTCTTCCAGGCTACAGTGCAGTGTCACGATCTTGGCTCACTGCAACCTGCTTCTCCTGGATTCAAGTGATTCTCCTGCCTCCGCCTCTCGAGTAGCTGGGATTACAGGCAACTGCCACCGTGCCCGGCTAATTCTTTTTGTATATTTTTTGTAGAGAGGATGTTTCACCACGTTGGCCAAGCTTGTCTGAAACTCCCAACCTCAAGTGATCCGACCGTCTCAGCATGCCAAAGTAATGGGACTACAGGCGTGAGCCACTGTGCCCAGCCAGAATTCAAAATCAATAATAGATAATGCTGAGTGTATGATTTCAGGTGACAAAGAAGGTCTCACTATTCAGATATTTGTGACATTAATGAAAAACACGGATTGAACCCCTGAAAGATTGGCGGAAGGATTTTGCACACACAGCTGTCAGCCGTGAAGGCACAAAGGTGAAAACAATCTGATGTGGAAGGAAGAGGCTCTTCCTCAAATGCTGGGAATGAGGTGGGGAGAATGACAAGACGACTGTGGAGAGACGGAGAGCACACTGGGTACACAGGAAACTAAGGAGCAACAAGGAGTGTGTGTTTGACACTCACAGCCATTGGATTCACCTCGGGGTAACCAGGAATCCCTACATGATTAATATGACTGACATGAAAATAAAGGAGGCCCAGGGGCGTAACTGGAATCTAGGAGACCGTGGAAAAGGCAATTCCCGACCCACTGGTGAAATGTGGTGCTGATTTTGACACTAAGTGGATGAAGCAGATGGATATAAGCTATGCTTGTGAGGTAGAATCATTGGCTGGAAAGGCTTGCTGGGTTTGATTTTCCTACTTGTTTAATCCTCGCTTAATTAATTTCTTTCTGAGATTTATTCATCCTACACATAAATCAATACCTGGCAAAGGAGTGACAGATATATGAGGGGTGGTGGAAATGAAGAGACCTATTATAGCGTAATATACAAGTCTGTGAACGGTGGCTCACGCTTGTAACCCAGCACTGCAGGAGGCCAAGGCGGGTGGATTCCATGAAGTCAGGAGTTCCAGACCAGCCTGGCCAACATGGTGAAACCCTATCTGTACTAAAAATACAAAAATTAGCCGAGCATGGTGGTGCATCCCTGTAATCCCAGCTCCTACTCTGGAGGATGAAGCAGGAGAATGACTTCAACCCAGGAGGTGGAGGTTGCAGTGAGTGGAGATTGCATCACTGCACTCCAGCCTGGGTGACACAAGGAGACTCCGTCTCAAAAAATAAAAATAAGAAATGCATAAATATAATAAAACACACACGAATGACAAAGGCACCTGAATTCCAATCATCATTTTTCTATTTCTCTATAATTACTTCTTTGATCCTTTATCTTATCCATTAGGCAATGAGCCTAAAACCTCTTCCCTATTTGGCTTTCTGTGAGCATGAGATCACATAGAAAATGTGAAAGCCCACTGAATCCTCCAGCACGGATCCTGGAATAGAGAAAGTGCTCTGTTCATCGCAAAAAAAAACTTGCCCACTCACCCAAATCCCCCACCTCACCCCTACTTCCAATCACCTGTGGAGATTCAGATAGACCATGGGGAGGAAACATTAATACTCCTTGGAGTGAGTCCAGATCTTGGAATCAGAGATCAGCGACAGCACTAGCTCCTGTTCCCCTTTCCTACTAATTCACAGGAGGACAGGTGGTATTGAAGCAATAGATGGTGGAGGGGGTGGTCCTTCCCCCAGCCTCTCGGGTAGAACAGCAGCCTAACATGTGTCTCCCGAGATCACAAAGAGCAGCACATTTCACACGGGCTTCAACACTATTTTCTGGCTGTTTGACATAAGAGAATCTTGCTTCGCTATTTTTAATCGTGATTTCACCTTTGTTTCCTTTCCTTGGTGAATGCAATTTGTTTGACTCAAGAATGCTGTGGATGTAGAAATCCTAAAGCACATTCGCTGTGTATCAATCCCAGTGCAGTCTTCCCAGAGAAGACTCTAAACAAATCCTGGACTGCACCTGGGCCTATGCCAATTCCTATCACTCACCGTCACTCCAGGGAGACAGAACACACAGAGAATACGTTACATAGGCAGGTTCATTACTAACAGATAAGCAGTGAGTGACAACAGAAGCCTGCATTTCAATGTGAGCCAGTCCCTCAAGGCTCAGAAAAGCTGCTCGGGACATATGGAGTCACCCCATTTGCAGTGTAACTGGGGGAAGCCAGAAAGCAGCCCAGCCTGGGTTTTGTACCCTGGAGCCACAGGAAGCACTCAGCTAAAGCACTGCATGACGTCCTCCTCCAGGAAGAACAGGAAGACAGCCCAGGCTGTTCTGAGACATTCCTCCTGATCTCAGGATGTTGCTATCTTAGTCCATTTTTGTTGCTCTAAAGGAACACTTGAGCCTGGGTAACTTCTAAAGAAAAGAGATTGGTTTGCCTCACAGTTCTGCAGGCTGTACTGGAAGCATGGCACCAGAATCTATTTCTCGTGATGGCCTCAGGCTGCTCCCACTCTGGCAGAAGGGAAGGAGGGTCTGTCTGTGCAGAGACCGCAGAGATCACACGGCAAGAGAGAGAGTAAGGGGGAGAGGGAGCGATGGAGCTTCCAAGCTCTTTTTAACAACCAGCTCTCCAGGAACTAACAGAGGGGGAACTTGCTAACCCCGTCTCCTTGGGACAGCATTGGTCTGTTCATGATGGATCCACCTCCATGACCCAAACACCTCTGAAGAGGCCCAACCTCCCACAATGGGGGTGAAATTTCAATGTGAGGTTTGAAAGGGTCAAACATCTCAACTAAAGTAGTTGTATCCTCAGCACGTTCTATGGTTACTATGAGAGCTATAATTGAGAAAGCAGGGGAAAGCTAGGTCTCCCGCCATTTGGGTGCTTGTCCTAAAGAGACGTTGTATGTGGTTACCTGCCAATCAAGAAATGCGAGACAATTCATAAAGAGGAACTGCTATGATTAGCTTCTTATTGGTGTCTCCTCTTCTTCCAGGTAACCCCAGACACCTACATGTTCTGATTGGGACCTCAGTGGTCAAAATCCCTTTCACCATCCTCCTCTTCTTTCTCCTTCATCGCTGGTGCTCCGACAAAAAAAGTAAGTCTCACGAAGCAGAGGCCAGAGAGCTCAGGGCCATGTGGGGAAGCAGGATGGGAGCACGCGGATGTGTGTTCCTCACCAGCAGGATGGTCCCTGGCCCAAGACAGGAGCCACAGAGGCAGGACTTTCTAGAGAGAGCACCAGATTCCCTTCCCCTGCCTTCAGCTCACAGACCATTGCCTGATTCTGAACTGTATCCTCACGTCCCCTGCAGCCACTCACATCCAGGAGAAGGTTCCATGACAGGCAGAAAGTGGGAGATAGAATCAATGGGATGGGACCTCAGAGCTATTCATGGGATGGGTCCTTGAACTCAGAGAGATAGAATGTCTGAGTCTGCTGTTGGCAACTGAGGGACCTCAGGCACCTATGGCCTCCCCCTGTTTGTTGGTATCTGCTTATGAAATGAGGACCCAGAAGTGCCCTCCGAGCTCTTTTGTTGACTTCCGTCTTCTACAGATGCTGCTGTAATGGACCAAGAGCCTGCAGGGAACAGAACAGTGAACAGCGAGGTAGGTGCTCCTCGGCCCAGCCTCGTGGCTAGTCTTATTCCCAAAGAGTCCTGAAAAATGTGAGCACCCTCCCTCACTCAGCATTTCCCTCTCTCCAGGATTCTGATGAACAAGACCATCAGGAGGTGTCATACGCATAATTGGATCACTGTGTTTTCACACAGAGAAAAATCACTCGCCCTTCTGAGAGGCCCAAGACACCCCCAACAGATACCAGCATGTACATAGAACTTCCAAATGCTGAGCCCAGATCCAAAGTTGTCTTCTGTCCACGAGCACCACAGTCAGGCCTTGAGGGGATCTTCTAGGGAGACAACAGCCCTGTCTCAAAACCGGGTTGCCAGCTCCCATGTACCAGCAGCTGGAATCTGAAGGCATCAGTCTTCATCTTAGGGCATCGCTCTTCCTCACACCACGAATCTGAACATGCCTCTCTCTTGCTTACAAATGTCTAAGGTCCCCACTGCCTGCTGGAGAGAAAACACACTCCTTTGCTTAGCCCACAATTCTCCATTTCACTTGACCCCTGCCCACCTCTCCAACCTAACTGGCTTACTTCCTAGTCTACCTGAGGCTGCAATCACACTGAGGAACTCACAATTCCAAACATACAAGAGGCTGCCTCTTAACACAGCACTTAGACACGTGCTGTTCCACCTCCCTTCAGACTATCTTTCAGCCTTCTGCCAGCAGTAAAACTTATAAATTTTTTAAATAATTTCAATGTAGTTTTCCCGCCTTCAAATAAACATGTCTGCCCTCATGGTTTCGGTAACGAGACTCTTTTCTTGCCTAAGGCTTCCGGTGTTATCATTACCATGTCCACATAACCCCATCTGTTCTCCATTGGGTTCTCAGCCCTGGACTCTGAGCTTCTGGAAGCAGAATGGAGCCTGATTTGTCTCTGAGACTCCAATTTCCATCCAAAGATACAGCACATAGGAGGCTCCAAGGATCGTGAATCACATGAACAAGTGATATTCTTACTCTCTGCAGACCTGGAAAGCTGGCAGAGTCATTCCACGATGAAACATTTGTAGAGTCATAGGCCTTGTTAGCCTCATCTCCACGGGGACACATATCAACATATCATCTTTCATAATATAAATATACAGTCGGTCCTCCATATCTGTGGGGTTTACAGGTGTTTATTGAACCAACAATAAATCAAAAATGTTTTCAGAAAAAAATCCCCGAAGTTTCAAGAAGCAAAAAACTATGTTGAATCGACACAAATTGAGTGGCGTGTAGGCTGTGTCAGGAATTATAAGTAATCAAGAGATGATTTCATGTATACAGGAGGATGTGCATGGGTTCTATGCAATTACTATGCTATTTTTTTTTTTTGAGACAGTCTCACTCTCTCACCCAGGCTGGAGTGCAGTGGCATGATCTCAGCTCACTGCAACCTCCGCCTCCCAGGTTCAAGCGATTGTCTTCCCTCAGCCTCCCCAGTAGCCTCCCCTAGGATTACAGGCACGTGCCACCATGCACAGATAAATTTTTTTGTGTGTGTATTTTTAGTAGAGATGGGGTTTCAGAATGTTGGACCAGCTGGTCTTGAACTCCTGACCTCGTGATCTACCCAACTCAGCCTCCCAAAGTGCTGGGATTACAGGCGTGAGCCACGGTGCCCAGCTTCGCTATGCCATTTCATGCAAGGGGCTTGAGCATCTGCAGATTTTGGTATCTGAATGGGGATCCTGGAACCAATCACCCAGGAATAGTGAAGGACCACAGTATATAATTTTTATTTGTCAATCTTAAAAATAAAGCATAAAAAGTTTACAACAACAAGATAAAAAATAAGAAGTGTTTTTATAGTGTGAGGATAAGTTTAGATTTATTTTTTCCTACGTGTAACCCTATGGTCCTGTGTTATTTATTGAGAAAATATTCTATTCCACCTTAAACTACATGGCAGCCTTTGTCAACTATGAAGGGACTGTGTATCCACAGATGTATTTTAGACACAGTTTTCTGCCCAGTGGTTCTCTGTATCCCCTCTCATGAGGATGCTGCATTTCATATAAACTTATAGAACCCCTTAAAATTTGGTAACCTGAGTTCTCTGATTTGTTATTATAGGTTATTTAGTTTGCTTTTTTTTTTCTTTCTTGAGACAGACTCTTCCTCTGTCACCCAAGCTGGAGTTCAGTGGCTTGAGCTCAGCTCACTGCAGCCTCCGCCTCCCAGGTTCAAGCAATTCTCGTGCCTCAGGTTTAGTACTAGAAACTCATCAGGAAAATTAGAATGGCTTTTTGTCACAATTACTCTGATAATGTTAATAATACCTCTTAGATATTTTGCACATTACACATGAAGAAAAGTTTGAATCTCAGATAAAAACAAAAATACATCAAAAGTCTTTAATGTAAGCACAGAATTCAATCACCTCATGTGTGAGAGGTTGGATCTGAGACGTCTTTTGAGTCTGGTCATAGTGAAGGATGCAAGGTGGCAATTGTAGTCACAACAATTTCCAGGAAGCCATGTTCCGCTCTTGAGCGAGCACCCACTGGGCCTCATGCAAGGTAGAAAGAGCCTGCGTACGTCACCCTCCCATGATGTGGTCAACATGTAAACTGCATGGGCAGGGCGCCAAATAACATCCTGTGCGCTGCTGAGCTGAGCTGGGGCGCGGCCTCCTGTCTGCACCGGCAGCACCATGTCGCTCACTGTCGTCAGCATGGCGTGCGTTGGTGAGTCCTGGAAGGGAATAGAGGGAGGGAGAGTGGGGATGGAGATCTCGGCCTAGAGGTAAAGATATGGGCCTGGAGTGGAGATATGGGCCTGGAGTGGAGATATGGGCCTGGGTGTGGAGATATGGGCCTGGAGGTGTAAATATGGGCCTGGAGTGGAGATATGGGCCTGGAGGGGAGATATGGGCCTGGGTGTGGAGATATGGGCCTGGAGTGGAGATACGGGCCTGGAGTGGAGATATGGGCCTGGAGTGGAGATATGGGCCTGCAGGTGGAGATCTGGGCCTGGAGTGGAGATATGGGCCTGGAGTGGAGATATGGGTCTGATGTGGAGATATGGGCCTGGAGTGGAGATATGGGCCTGGAGTGGAGATATGGGCCTAGAGGGGAGATCTGGGCCTGGAGTGGAGATATGGGTCTGATGTGGAGATATGGGCCTGGAGTGGAGATATGGGTCTGATGTGGAGATATGGGCCTGGAGTGGAGATAGGGGCCTGGAGTGGAGATATGGGCCTGGAGTGGAGATCTGGGCCAGGAAGTGTTGATCTGGGCCTGGAGCCTGGGTCTCTCCACAGCTGAGAGCCCTGTTCTTGGCAGCAGGTAGCAGGGAGGCTAAGTTTACCTTCAGCCCAGCAAGGGCCTGGCTGCCAAGACACACAGTGCAGTGGGGGCAGCAGGGTGCCCTGGTTTGCCTGCAGTTGGATCGTCTATCATGATCTTTCTTTCCAGGGTTCTTCTTGCTGCAGGGGGCCTGGCCACTCATGGGTGAGTCCTTCCCCAAACCTTAGGGTGTCATCTCCCCACATAAGAGGATTTTTCTGAAACAGGAGGGAAGTCCTGTCGGGGAGTCTCTCATAAACTAGGAAGAGGGGACCCTTGGATACTCGGCCCACATTTCTGACCTCGCCCTCCCCGGCCTTTCTTTCCCTTTCCTGAGTCAAGCTCTGTGAAGACTGGGGTGAGACTGGGGTGCTCCAAGCTGGGGTGTGCAGGGAGGAAGTGGTGTCAGCAGCAGAGAAAGAGAGGGAAGCAGTGCTAGGAACAGCAGGTCCTCTGAGGACAAAGGTATAACTGACACCCTCCAGCGTTTCCGTGACGGTAGGGACTGCAGTGTGGCTGCGGTCTTTCTACCAGAAGAGGGGGGAAACCACAGCCATGGCCCTGACATTCCAAATCCTCTGAGGGGGCTCAGTTCATGAATTGGCTGATATTCCATTCACATAGGACATGCCCTCCATGCCGTGTCTACTTTGTGTTGTTTTATGTGAGTAATTTTGCAGTATTAAAATCTAGTAAGAGTCACTTATTCAGCACTTGCTCAAAGTTCTCAGCTGACACTTGTTGTAGGGAGACGCCATGTCTATGTGGGGTGGGTCCTTCCTGTAGCCCTGGGCACCCAGGTGTGGTAGGAGCCTTAGAAAGTGGAAATGGGAGAATCTTCTGAGCACAGGGAGGGAGGGGTGGCTCCACATCCTCCTCTCTAAGGCAGTGCCTCCTTCTCCCCCAGGTGGTCAGGACAAACCCTTCCTGTCTGCCCGGCCCAGCACTGTGGTGCCTCGAGGAGGACACGTGGCTCTTCAGTGTCACTATCGTCGTGGGTTTAACAATTTCATGCTGTACAAAGAAGACAGAAGCCACGTTCCCATCTTCCACGGCAGAATATTCCAGGAGAGCTTCATCATGGGCCCTGTGACCCCAGCACATGCAGGGACCTACAGATGTCGGGGTTCACGCCCACACTCCCTCACTGGGTGGTCGACACCCAGCAACCCCCTGGTGATCATGGTCACAGGTCAGAGGCTTTCTGTCTGGGCTTCTCACTGTCCCACCTCCTGAATCCCAGAGCTTCTGGTGGGGGTGTCCATCAGGGTCCCATCACCCAGGCCCCAACTGTATTTGGGGTCAAGGGGGATTGAATACAGGGGAAATGGGCGCTGTGGTGGGAAGAATAACTGTCGCCAATGATGGCTACATTGTAAACCCTGGAGCCTGTGACTATTTATGTTATAGGGCAGGGGACTGAAGGGGAAGGTGGAGCTCAGGTTGTTGATGAGTTGACCTTGAGATGGGGAGACAGCCTGGACTGTCCTGCTGGGCTCAGTGTAATCACAAGGGTCCGCGTGAGAGGTGGAGGAAGAGGGGAGTGGGGATTAGAGCAGTGTAGTGGGAGGGAGACGCTATCAGCCACTGTGGGCTTTGAAGGTGGAGGAAGGCCACTAGTCACAGAATGCAGGTGGCCTCTAAGGGCTGGAGAAGTCAAGAGAACTGATTCGCTGAGTCTCCAGAGGGAACGCAGCCCTGCAGATGCCTTGATTTCAGCACAGGGAGAACTGGATCCAATTTCTGTCCCCAGAAGTGGAAGGGGTCAGTGTGTTCTCTCCTGCTGCCATGTTTGTGATAATTTTCTGCAGCAGCAACAGGAAACCGACACAGGAACCCAGGTCAAGGACAAGCTAGGAAACCAAACAAGGATAGCCAGGTGTGGTGGTGGGCACGAGTAATCCAACGACTGGGGAGGCTGAGGCAAGAGAATCACTTGAACCGGGGAGGCAGAGGTTGCAGTGAGCCAAGACAACACCACTGCACTCCAGCCTGGGTGAAAAAGTGACTGTCTCAAAAATAAATTAATTAATCAATTAATTAAAGAAACCAAACAAGGAGAAGGTTGGCTACCGTGGGATCAGCAAGGGTGGGATGCTGATGCCACCACCAGGCTCCATCCACATAGGAAGGGGTTGATGCTCCTGGAACCAGCACCAGGGACCACCCTATGGAAGCTGGGGCCATGGAGAAGGCACAGACATGGCAGGAGAGGCTCCCAATCCCCATCAGGAACAGGGTGTGTGGACACTGATGTCTGCCTTACTGATGAGTTGATACCTCTGCCAGAGACTCCAATTTGTTCAAAAGAGATTGATTCAGGCTGCTGAGAGCCTGGACATGCAGCCTGTCCTCTTCCACCCCCACATAGACAGCAGGAAAGAGACTAGTGGGAAAGAGATACAACAGCCCAAGAGATGAGGCTCTCTTCACAGTGGGAAGGGAGTCAGGGGCTACTGGAGACAGAGGGACAGAGAAGAGGGAGGAAGACAAATGGAGGGACCTGCACCAGGGGATATGGGCACAGAAAAGACACGGAGACACAGAGAGGGAGGAGAGAGACAGACCTCTGGGAGGGGAACCCTCACTCATTCCAGGTGCCATGGATGGGATGATAAAGAGAGATGCCTTCTAAACTCACAACTTCTCTTTCTAGGAAACCACAGAAAACCTTCCCTCCTGGCCCACCCAGGGCCCCTGCTGAAATCAGGAGAGACAGTCATCCTGCAATGTTGGTCAGATGTCATGTTTGAGCACTTCTTTCTGCACAGAGAGGGGATCTCTGAGGACCCCTCACGCCTCGTTGGACAGATCCATGATGGGGTCTCCAAGGCCAACTTCTCCATCGGTCCCTTGATGCCTGTCCTTGCAGGAACCTACAGATGTTATGGTTCTGTTCCTCACTCCCCCTATCAGTTGTCAGCTCCCAGTGACCCCCTGGACATCGTGATCACAGGTGAGAGTGTCCAGACATTCTTCTCATTGTCATTGGGACACAGAGTGAATGATCCAGGACTTGGAACCCCCAGGTGGTCATGAGGAAGATAAGCGTGAGATTCTTATGGAGAGAGACTGACTCGGTGAGGTCTGTACCAACAGAGACAGGGAAACAGGAGACATAAGTACAGACCAGGTGTCATAACAGAGGACAGACACAGGGGCCATACGGGGAAGTAGAAAAGAGAGAAAGAGGTAAAGGAGACACTCAGACAGACAGACATGTGCCAGAGAGAAGTGTCCTTCCATGCTGACTTTGCTCAGAGACCTGGCACAGGTTAGAAGTTTCATTTCTGTTTTGTCTCCACAAAGTGCTTCTACGAGGAGAACCCAAGGACACCCATATTTCTGACCTGAGTTGGGCCCTGTGGCCTCAGGCCTTGTGGCATCTACAGATGCCATGTTTATTCTGACACCTCTGCCTTCCATGCAGTGGAGCCATAATTATCCCAGGATATCATGGCCCCAGAACACCAACCCCTAAATACTGTGTGTACTTGGTGTCCCCAGACTAGATTCTGAGGCTCATATTCCAAATAATCCTACATATAATAGGATCACTGAGAGACACAGAGATAAATCAGGGACTTCAAAAAGCAAAGGCATAAACACACAGAGAATGAGCCAGAGGAAGGGGATTGAGAGACTCACAGACACACAAAAAGAAAGAAAAGAGGGCAGAGGAGTGGAGAGAATGCTGGAAGGGAGGAGAGAAAAGCCCCAAAATCAGAACCCTGAGGGAGGGGCACAAAGACAGAGAAAGATAAAGATGTGGGGATGGATTGCAGAGATTCCAAATAGAACTAGAGAGACTGAGAGGCAGAGAAAGACAAGGAGATGGAGAGAGACAGATGATAGATGGATAGATAGATATAGATAGATGATAAATAGGTAGATGATAGATAATGGATAGGTTATAGATACATAGATGATGATTGATAGATGATACATAGAGATGATGATGATGATGATGATGAAGATAGATAGATAGAAGACACATATATAAATATATAGATACATAGATGATACATAGAGACTGACAGGCAGACAGAGAGGTAATAGAGAGAGAGAGAGATGATACATAGATACAGATAATACATAGATGATTGATGGATAGACAGATAGACAATTGATAGATAAATGATACATAGATATAGA
The DNA here is from genome assembly GCF_000001405.40 of Homo sapiens. Taxonomy (NCBI): domain Eukaryota; kingdom Metazoa; phylum Chordata; class Mammalia; order Primates; family Hominidae; genus Homo; species Homo sapiens. The sequence goes on from NW_016107310.1 coordinate 214,465, forward strand.
TGACAGATAATTTGTAGATAGACACAAAATAGATAGATAGATAATAGATAGAAATATGCAGAAAGTTATGAACAAGACAGAAAGTGAGAGACTCAGAATTATAGAAAAAGGAAGATCAAGTCAACCAATCCAAGGAGAGTCAGAGAGAATAAAACAATCCAAAAAGGGAAAGCATACCCAGGGGTGGGGAAGTGAGGTCAGAGACCTAGAGAGACAGAGAAGGCGGAAGGAGGAAATAGACATGAAGAGAGTTGGGGTGGAGGGTGAGAGAGAGAGAGAGCATTAGGTCATAGAGCAGGGGAGTGAGTTCTCAGCTCAGGTATGAGGGGAGCTGTGACAAGGAAGAACCTCCCTGAGGAAACTGCCTCTTCTCCTTCCAGGTCTATATGAGAAACCTTCTCTCTCAGCCCAGCCGGGCCCCACGGTTCAGGCAGGAGAGAACGTGACCTTGTCCTGTAGCTCCTGGAGCTCCTATGACATCTACCATCTGTCCAGGGAAGGGGAGGCCCATGAACGTAGGCTCCGTGCAGTGCCCAAGGTCAACAGAACATTCCAGGCAGACTTTCCTCTGGGCCCTGCCACCCACGGAGGGACCTACAGATGCTTCGGCTCTTTCCGTGCCCTGCCCTGCGTGTGGTCAAACTCAAGTGACCCACTGCTTGTTTCTGTCACAGGTGAGGAAAACCCGTGTCTGTCCCATGTCTTATGATCCTAGAGCCATAGCTGAGGAGCTTCCTGCCGATGATGGGGAGAAGCATGGACAGATGCAGAGAGAACACGAAGACTGGGTGTGAAGGGGGGGTCAGGGTGCAGGATGGCAGACAGGGCACCTCCAAACCCTCTTGCATGGCCTGCATGGAGGCCCATGGTCAGGGCTCCAGGCACCCAGGCAGATGGAGAAAGCGGTCAGGACAGACCCAGAGAAGGGGAGACTGGGCTCAGTTTGGGGAGATCAGAGGTTCCCTCAGCCCCTCAACCTTACCCATTTCCCAGAAGCCCATCCTGGCCTCTCACCCACACAGAGAGATGTCATCACCAGCAACCCCTACACTCTTTTCTTTTCATTTTCAAAAATATTTATTGAGGTTAAATGTAACTATATAATTTACCAACTTTACCATTTTTAAAAGTAAAATCTAGTGGTCATAAATACCTTTATATGCTGGGTGTGGTGGTTCACGGTTGTAATCTTGGCGCTTTGAGAGGCCAAGAAAGGTGGATCATTTAAGATCAGGGACTCGAGATCAGCCTGGCCAACATGCGGGAAATTCATCTTTACTAAACAGACAAGAAAAATTAGCCAAGCATGCCGGCATGCACCTGTAGTCCTAGCTACTTGGGAGGCTGAGGCAGGAGAAGCACTTAAAGCCAGGAGGCAGAGGTTGCACTGAGCCGAGATCATGCCACTGCACTGCAGCCTGGGAGACAGAGAGAGACTCTGTTTCTAAATAAATAAATACATCTATATTCTTTTTTTTGTTACCCTCCACCCTTCCCTTCCTGGCCTCTGGTATCCACCATTCTATTCTCTACCTTCATGAGATCCACCTTTTATCTCCTGCATGTGGTGAGAAATGGGAATCTTTGTAATGACCTCCAGTTCCATCCATGTGGCTGCAAATGACAGGATGTTATTGTTTCTATGGATGAGTAGTCTCCACCGTGTGTGTGTACTACAGTTCTCTATCCATTCACCCACTGATAGGCAGGTAGGTTGACTCCACATCTTGGCTACTGTGAACAGTGCTGGAACAGTCATATGAGTGCAGATATCACTTCGATACACTGATGTCCTTTCCTTTGGATATAAACCCAGTAGTGAAATTGCTGGACACTATGAAAGTTCTCTTTTTTTTTTTTCTTTTTTGAGAAAGAGTTTCCCTCCTTAGTCCAAGCTGGAGTCAAAGTGGTGCGATCTTGGCTCATTGCAACCTCTGCTTCCTAGGTTCAAACGATTCTCCTGACTCAGCCTCCCTAATAGCTGTGATTACAGGTGCACGCCACCATGCCTGACTAATTCTTGTATTTTTTAGCACAGACGGGATATCCCAATTTTGGGCAGGCTGCTCTCAAACTCCTGACCTCAAGTGAGGTGCCTGCCTCGGTTTCCCAAAGTGCTGAAGTTACAGGCATAAGCCACTATGCCCAGCCTCCTTTTAGTTTTTTAAAGTTTTTCCATACTTTTCTCCATAATAGTTGTACTAATTTACATTCCTACCAACAGGGTACCAGGGTTCTCCTTTCTCTACCATCTTGCCAGCATTTGTTTTGCCTGTCTTGCAGATAAAAGCCATTTTACTTTATTTATTTATTTATTTATTTATGTTGAGATGGAGTTTCACTCATAGTCGCCCAGGCTGGAGTGCAAGGGTGTGATCTCGGCTCACTGCAACCTCTGCCTCCCGCGTTCAACTGATTCTCCTGCCTCAGCCTCCAAAGTAGCTGGGATTACAGGCATGTGCCACCACGCCTAGCTAATTTTTGTATGTTTAGTAGAGAGGGAGTTTCTCCATGTTGGTCAGGCTGGTCTCCCGACCTCAGGTGATCCGCCCACCTCCGCCTCCCAAAGTGCTGGAATTACAGGCGTGAGCCACCGGCCTAAAAGGCATTTTAATGGGATGAGATGAAAACTCATCGCGATTGTAATTTACATTTCTGTGATGATGAGTGATGCTGAGCACTTTTTCATATACGTGATCGCCATTTCTATGTTTTGTTTGTGGAGAAATGTCTCCTCATGTCTTTTGCTCGTTTTTTAATTAAATTGTTTTATTGAGTTGTTTGAGCTTCTTATATTTCCAGTTATTAATCCCATCTCAGATGAATAGTTTGCAAATATTTGCTCCTATTTTGTGGGTTGTCTCTTCACTTTGTTGGTTTATCTTTGGTGGTGCAGAAGTTGCTTGGTTTGATGTAATCCTAATGGTCTATTTTTTGCTTTGATTACTTGTGTTTTGAAGGTTTTAAACAAAATGTCTTTCGTCAGACAAATGTCTTCCCCATTATTTTCTTCTACATGTTTCATAGGTTCAGGCCTTAGACTCATGTTTTTAATCCATTTTCATTTGATTTTTGTGTAAGGTGACAGGTATAGATGCAGTTTTATTCCTCTGCATGTAGATATCCAGTTTTCCCCACACCATTTATTGAAGACTGTCCTTTCTTGATTGTAAGTTCTCGGCACCTTTGTCAAAGTCCATTAAATGGGCTGGGCATGGTGGCTCACACCTGCAATTCCAGCACTTTGGGAGGCCGAGGCGGGTGGATCACCTAAAGCCAGGAGTTCAAGACCAGGCTGGCCAACAGAGTGAAACCTCGTCTCTACTAAAAATACAAAAATTAGCTGAGCATGGTGATCAGTGCCTGTAATACCACTACTCAGGAGTTTGAAGCAAGAGAATTTCTTGAATCCAGGAAGTGGAGGTTGCATTGAGCTGAGATTGCACCTCTACACTCCAGCCTGCATGACAGAGCAAGATTCCATCACACACACACAAAAGAAAGCCATTGGATGTAAATGCATGGATTATATCTGTGTTCTCCATTCTGTTCCATTTTTTATGTGCCTTTCTTTATGCCAATGTCATGCTGTTTTGCTTACTACAGCTCTGTAACATATTTCTAAGTCAGGTAGTGTGATGCTCCTGTTTTCTCTTTATACCTTCAAGTCTCAAGACAGTGGGCATCGCACACAAAAATTATGGAGAAAAGGATCCCAAGACTCCCAGGGTCCAACATTAGATAACAGAGTGTTGGCCATGAACCAACCTCAAAGATTTCCATTGAGTAGAGGACAAGCACCCTCATTTCCTCACATCTCTCCTGTCCCGTGTTCTAGGAAACCCTTCAAGTAGTTGGCCTTCACCCACAGAACCAAGCTCCAAATCTGGTGAGTAAAGGACCCCTCTTATCTCTGCTTTTGGAAACCTGGGGAGGTGGAAGCCTTGGATGCAAGTGTTGGCTCAAACCTCCCAGCTCTGTGAATGAGGGCCTGTCTTCCACCATCTCTGAACTCCAGACACTCCAACAGTGAAAGGGATCTAGGGCCACCAAAGGGCTCAGCGAAGTCTCTTTACCTTTAATTTCCTGCAGGTGAGACCTCCTACAAGCTAGAAGAATAATTGCCAATCTGACATCCTTCTCAGGAAAAATGCAGTGTTTTTTCTGCCTGCATTCCTAACTGGAGGATAAATTCCCGGGGGCTTGAGAGAGGGAAGGGAAGGGAACATCTGATGAGGGTGGGTGTTTTAGAGAAGTTCCACTTGCCAAGGAATGAATTACTGTTGGTCATCAGGCAACCCTGGCTGACTCAGCAGAGCAAGAGCCTTGCCGTAACAGAGAACAGAGCTCATGCACGCACACTTCGACTCACTGACTCATTCAGCCACAGCCCCATGCTCAGGCTGTGCAGTGTGGAAGCTTTTCCTATTGTTGCCATAACAAATTTCCACAAGATTCGTGGGTGAAAACAAAACGGTTATTTAATTATCTTACAGTGCTGTAGCTCAAAGCATGACGTGCATGTCACTGGGCTAAAATCAAGGTGACAGCAAGGCTGCCTTCCCTCTGAGGGTTCCAGGCAAGAATCTGCTTCTCACTTTTCTCAGCTTCTAGAGGCTCCCATGTTCCTTGGCTCCTGGTACCCTTCCTCCTTCCTCAAAGCCCACAAAGACTGGTCACATCTCACATGGCATCACTCAGACCCTTCTTCCTTACCACACCTCTTTCTCTGAATGCTGCTCTCCCTTCTTCCCCTTCTTTTGAAAACTTGGGGATTCTATTGGGTTCACCAAGATGAAAATCCATCATAATCTCCCGGAAATCATCCAGGATACCCTCCTTTTAAGTTCAGCTGACTAGCAACCATAATTCCATCTGCAATCTTCATTCCTCCTTTCATGTAAAATAACATATTCACAAGCTATGGAGGCTAGGACATGGACATTTTTGGGGTGGGACAACATTCTCCTGCCTTCCACAAACAGTGAACAAGATGCATTTGGCCTCTGTTCTTGGGACACTGATCTTGCAGATGGTTAAATGGGAGGGCAGAAAATGTAGGCACAAGGGGACCAATAAATGAATGATCTATTGAGAAGCATCTGTGCATGAAATCTATTTATTTATGTATTTACCTACTTGTTTATTGAGACGGAGCCTTGCTCTGTCGTCCAGGCTAGAGTGCGGTGGCATGATCTCGGCTCACTGCAACCTCCACCTCCTGGGCTGAACGGATCTCCTCCCTCAGCCTCTCCAGTAGCTGGGATTACAGACCACAACCACCACGCCCGGCTAACTCTTTTTGCATATTTTCTGTAGAGAGGATGTTTCACCATGTTGGCCAGGCTGGTCTCAAATTCCCAACCTCAGGTGATCCAATAGCCTCTGCCTCCCAACACGCTGGGATAAGAGGCATGAGCCACGGGGCCAAGCCAAATTTTCAAATCAATAATAGATAATGCTGAGTGTATGATTTCAGGTGACAGAGAAGTTCTCACTAATCAGATATTTGTGACATTAATGAAAAACACGGATTGAACCCCTGAAAGATGGGCGGAAGGATTTTGCACACACAGCTGTCAGCCGTGAAGGCACAAAGGTGAAAATAATCTGATGTTGAAGGAAGAGGCTCTGCCTCAAATGCTGGGAATGACGTGGGGAGAATGACAAGACGACTGTAGAGAGACGGAGAGCACACTGGGTACACAGGAAACTAAGGAGCAACAAGGAGTGTGTGTTTGACACTCACAGCCATTGGACTCACCTCGGGGTAACCAGGAATCCCTACATGATTAATATGACTGACATGAAAATAAGGGAGGCCCAGGTGCGTAACTGGAATCTAGGAGACCGTGGAAAAGGCAATTCCCGCCCCACTGGTGAAATGTGGTGCTGATTTAGACACTAAATGAATGAAGTAGATGGATATAAGATATGTTTGTGAGGTAGAATCATTGGCTGGAAAGGCTTGCTGGGTTTGATTTTTTCCTGGTAGTTTAATCCTCGCTTCACTAACTTATTTCTGAGATTTATTTCTCCTGCATCTAAATCAATACCTGGCAGAGGAGGGAGAGCTAGATGAGGGGTGGTGCAAATGAAGGGACCTAGTATAGCATAATATACAAGGCTGTGAACGGTGGCTCACGCCTGTAACCCAGCACTTCAGGAGGCCAACGCGGGTGGATCACATGAAGTCAGGAGTTCGAGACCAGCCTGGCCAACATGGAGAAACCCTATCTCTACTAAAAATACAAAAATTAAACAGGCATGATGGTGGTGCATGACTGTAATCCCAGCTACTCTGGAGGAGGAAGCAGGAGAATGACTTCAGCCCTGGAGGCAGAGGTTGCAGTGAGTGGAGATCGCGTCACTGCACACCAGCCTGGGCTACACAGGGATACTCTGGCTCAAAAAATAAAAATAAAAAATACATAAATATAATAATATACACAAATGATGCAGGCACCTGAATTCCAATCATCATTTTTCTATTTCTCTATAATTACTTCTTTGATCCTTTATCTTATCCATTAGAAAATCAGCCTAAAACCTCTTCCATATTTGGCTTTCTGTGAACATGAGATCATATGGAAAATATGAAAGCCCCCTGAACCCACCAGCACAGGCCCTGAAATAGGGAAAGTGCTCTGTTCATCACAAGAAACTTGCCCCCTCACCCAAATCCCCCACCTCACCCCTACTTCCAATCACCTGTGGAGATACAGATAGATCATGGGGAGGTAAACGCTAATACTCCTTGGAGTGAGTTCAGATCTTGGAATCAGAGATCAGCACCAGCACTAGCTCCTGCTCCCCTTTCCTACTAATTCACAGGAGGACAGGTGGTTTTGAAGCAATAGATGGTGGAGGGGGTGGTCTTTCCCCCAGCCTCTCAGGTGGAACAGCAGCCTAACATGTGTCTCGCGAGATCACAAAGAGTAGCACGTTTCACATGGGCTTCATCATTATTTCCTGGCTGTTTGACATAAGAGAATTCTACTTTGCTTTTTTGATCTTGATTTCACTTTTGTGTCCTTTTCTTGGAGAATGTAATTTGAGTCAAGAGGGTTGTGGATGTAGAAACTGTAAAGCACATTCACTGTGTATCAATCCCAGTTCAGTCTTTCCAGAGAAGACTCTAAACACCTGCTGTACTGCACCTGGGCCTATGCAAATTTCTATCACTCACCGTCACTCCAGGGAGACAGAACACACAGAGAATACGTTACATAGGCAGGTTCATTACTAACAGATAAGCAGCGAGTGACAACAGAAGCCTACATTTCAATGTGAGCCAGTCCCTCAAGGCTCAGAAAAGCTTCTCGGGACATATGGAGTCACCTCATTTGCAGTGTATCTGGGGGAAGCCAGAAAATAGCCCAGCCTGGGTTTCGTACCCTGAAGCCACAGGAAGCACTCAGCTAAAGCACTGCATGACGTCCTCCTCCAGGAAGAACAGGAAGACAGCACAGGCTGTTCTGAGACGTTCCTCCTGATCTCAGGACGTTGCTGTCTTAGTCCATTTTTGTTGCTATAAAAGAACACTTGAGCCTGGGTTACTTCTTTTTTTTTTTTTTTTTTTGTATAGTGCTTCTGATGAGCTTTTTTTTTAAATTTTTATTATTATTATACTTTAAGTTTTAGGGTACATGTGCACAATGTGCAGGTTAGTTACATATGTATACATGTGCCATGCTGGTGTGCTGCACCCATCAACTCGTCATTTAGCATTAGGTATATCTCCTAATGCTATCCCTCCCCCCTCCCCCCACCCAACAACAGTCCCCAGAGTGTGATGTTCCCCTTCCTGTGTCCATGTGTTCTCATTGTTCAATTCCCACCTATAAGTGAGAACATGCAGTGTTTGGATTTTTGTCCTTGTGATAGTCTACTGAGAATGATGATTTCCAATTTCATCCATGTCCCTGCAAAGGACATGAACTCATCATTTTTTATGGCTGCATAGTATTCCATGGTGTATATGTGCCACATTTTCTTCATCCAGTCTATCATTGTTGGACATTTGGGTTGGTTCCAAGTCTTTGCTATTGTGAATAGTGCCACAATAAACATACGTGTCCATGTGTCTTTATAGCAGCATGATTTATAGTCCTTTGGGTTTATACCCAGTAATGGGATGGCTGGGTCAAATGGTATTTCAAGCTCTAGATCCCTGAGGAATCGCCACACTGACTTCCACAATGGTTGAACTAGTTTACAGTCCCACCAACAGTGTAAAAGTGTTCCTATTTCTCCACATCCTCTCCAGCACCTGTTGTTTCCCGACTTTTTAATGATCGCCATTCTAACTGGTGTGAGATGGTATCTCATTGTGGTTTTGATTTGCATTTCTCTGATGGCCAGTCATGGTGAGCATTTTTTCATGTGTTTTTTGGCTGCATAAATGTCTTCTTTTGAGAAGTGTCTGTTCATGTCCTTTGCCCACTTTTTGATAGGATTGTTTGTTTTTTTCTTGTAAATTTGTTTGAGTTCATTGTAGATTCTGGATATTAGCCCTTTGTCAGATGAGTAGGTTGCGAAAATTTTCTCCCATTTTGTAGGTTGTCTGTTCACTCTGATGGTAGTTTCTTTTGCTGTGCAGAAGCTCTTTAGTTTAATTAGATCCCGTTTGTCAATTTTGGCTTTTGTTGCCG